>NC_000005.10:95261322-95564352 GCF_000001405.40 Homo sapiens
GCGCTTTATAATAATTTTCTGCAGCACTTGAATCTCCCGGCTACAGTGTGATTCTGTAGCTGAAAAAAAAGATTCCTCCCACATTAGCATTTGGTGATTTTTTGAAATGCTTATTTAAAAATCTAATTTCTTTTCTGTAATAAATGATTTTTTGTAGTACTTGCAATCTCCATTTAATTTTGTTGCACTCTGGTGCCACCTAACGCTCATCTTCTCTGGGACATCTGTGTTTCTTCATCCTTCCATAAATGTTATTTTAAGCCTGGGTGTAACCCTACCAGCAAAACTTCCCCTGATTGCTTCAAAATGTTCATCTGTCACCAAGCCCTTCAAAATTTGTTGCCACTGTTTCTATGACATCTGATTGTTTCTTCCTAAAATTTACAGATCTCTTCAAGAAATTCAACAATGATGTCAATCAGACGGAGTTCTTGTAAATGTTCTCTGCAATGGAGATGTACATCTAGCCAATTTATTGGGGGTGGATTGGGCTGCCCTGGGAGATACACCCATGAGGAAGTAAGGAATCAAGATTGGACAGAAGGAGAAGTTAACCCACAATGTGGTTTCAAATGAGGCCTCCTTCAGTCCTACAGGGAGCTCTGGGGCTGGGACTGCAGAGTTTCCCCACATAGAGGCAAGAGGGCTGGGCCTTTATAGCCCCCCATCAACCAGCCACTGGCCACTTGGAGGGACATTACTTTGGGAGAGGCTGTGTCCTGAGGCCAACGGCAATGCCTAGTAGGGGCACAGCTGTGAAGCCATCACAGTCCATGTCCCAGCAGCCAGAGTATGGGCCCATCTCGAGATGATGGGATCTGGGCAGAGACAGGTCAGCCTTCACTAACTCTTTGCCTGTTCATTTACCTTCATGAGTCGAGCTGAAATTAAGGGAATCTAACTCTTGAAAATCAATCCTACAATCCACAGACACATTTTTTTGATCACAGGATCACAGGTGATTTCTAAGAGCACATAGTTCATTTCAAGCGTGAAATGGCTAACCAAGCCAGCACCTTCTACCCATGGCTCCAAGCACAGTAACTCCCATAAGGTAAACACTCTGTAAACACCTTAAAAGGATACCAAAAGCATCATTATTCTTAAGCATTACACCCATTTTTAGGAAATGTGAGGAAATCAGACATAAAAATAATATAAAAGGACCAATAATGAGATAAAGATGCCCAAATCAGTTCTCAGAACTAAAATCTGAGACAGGACTGCATGGAGGGCTGTGTGCTTAGAAGATTAGAAATCAAGTTAGAATATCTCTATTTGAGAAAGTGATTATCTCTATTTAACCTTGAAAAATAAATTCCTTGTAAACATAATTGTAGCAATGTGGGAAATTCTCAGCAGGATTACAAAGTAGCTTAATTTAAAAACCTAAAAACTCAAAAAATTGTGGCTAATTAGCCCCTCGAGATATTACTTTAACAAAATATCAAAACTCTTCAATAAATATTAAAAAAATAAAAAATAAAGTTCATTTATGTCAAACAATGTCATCTATCCCTAATTATTCTATATACTACATTAAAAATTAAAAGCTTTTTTCAATCAGTAGACAAATCATATATTTGTTATTCAATTTGATTTCGCATTATGGGGCATTTACTATGTGCAAAGCATATATGAAGCAAAGGGAGTGACTACAAGTGACTCCTGCTTAGACCTTCCATTTTAAGATGTGACAGAAAAATTGTGCAAGTGTACGAAGGCTAAGCCTTATGAAAACATTATCTATGCAGTGCAAGCAGTCTCTGGCTTCCTGAACTGGGGAAGGTCCAGAGTTCACTAGGAAGCTATGTTTACTGGCTTCATTTGCCCAGAGAAGCAATGTCACTAATGGGAGTTGGTTTCCAGATGAGACCTCCTAATGTACTTCTAGCAGCTCCAGCCCAAGTTCTGAGAGCAAGAAATCATGAGGGACAGGACGGTGGCAGAGGAGAACAGGGCAGTTTCCCATTCCCTTGCCAGACCCAGAGCCATTCTTCAGCCAAGCTATGGATCAAAGCAAGTCTGTAGTTAGCATCTCATGCCTCCCTTCCCATGCACCTCCATTCAAAGCTCCACTAGTTTCCAGCCTCTTGTCACCTCCCCCATACTAAGTCCTGTGGCACCCATCCAGGCCCAGGTTGCTGCCACAAATTCTACAGATTGAGCTAAATCACTCTCACCCACGCCCACTGCTCAAAATTTACAATGTTCTATCCAGAAATTAGAAGGCAAGAACCTAGCTGAGTTAATTCATGCTAAAGTATAAATGGTCATTCCTGAAGGCTCCAAGAGACACCAGTATAACTTTTAAAGATACCTGCTGCCTCAAAAGTGGAGATGAACGACTATCAGAAGTGATGGAGTGGAGGAGAATAAAGAATGTGTATTGAGCATTGCCATGTGCCAGGAACTTTCATTGTACCCTCCTAACAGCACCATCAGGTTGGTATGTTATTCCCCCAGATTTACAGAAAAGAAATGTGAGGTTTAGAGAGGTTAAGACTTACTCAAGCTCTGGAAGACAGTCTGCCTCCACCTCTCTTCCCCATGGGCAAAGTCAACCAGTCCAGTCTCCACCCAGGGGCAGGCAACTCTCCTAGGCCATTCTTCCCTTGCACTGTTTCTTCTCTTCCTTTGTATTGAAACCACAGATCCCCTTAAAAAACCATCTTCTTGCAAAGTGTGATGACAGGGACAGTAAAAGAAGCTGAGGCAGCAATGGGTAAACACTACTAAAGCATATTTGTATAATGAAGCTGCTTGCAAGTGGAGTGTGGATCAGGAACTGCTTATATTCTAGGCTCTGAAAGGAGGAAAAGAGGATGGTAAGTGGATTTATCCCTTGAGCGTCAGTATCTACCTCTCTAAAGTATGTTTTCTAAGTTCTTTGCTAAAATTCTAGGACTTCATCAATGTGATAGCCTTTAGGTTAACTCAGGTGCTGTTATTTGTACCATAGCTAACTTTAAAACTAGTCATCTCATTAGCATGGCTTTTCAAATACTAAAATCCATTCAGGAAGAAAAGCATTAAAAACCTAGTTGATATACACTTTAAAATTCCATACTCTATGCTCGTTTTATATTAAAAACACAGAAAAACAGTCTCCCTCTCCAAGGCAGTGCTTCAGACCAGCAGCTGAGTCCAGCAGCTCATAGATAGATTTTCTGGATGGCTGATTATTCATCTTCCCCACTGCTGCTTATTGACCAAACCCCACGCGGGCACTGGAAATATCTGCCTGCCCACAGCAATTTGATTTGCCTTTAAAGACCCACCTCTCTCCCACTCTCAGCCCACAGTGTTTGGATTGAATGCCCCTCACTTCTGGGTTCCAAAAGACACACATGACCTGTCCAAAGCACCCCCTGGCCACAGTGGACAGAGTGAGGGTCCAAATCACTCCCAATGTCACTCACTGCCAAGCATGGTCTTTCCCACAGGCAGGCACAGCTGTGAGGAGGATGTGTGCCTAGAGATGCTGACAGCCACCAGTAGAGAGTCTGCCTGAGAGAGATGTCCAAAGCGAAGCAATTCTGGGAGAAGGAAAGAAAGAAAGGTGGCAGGGGGTGGTGGGGTAAAGACAGAGACCTGATGACTGAGGCCTGGATCCAGCCTGCTCTGGGTCTTTTCAGGTGTGACCAATACACTCTCCTTTGAAGCCTAATCCAGGAAGAGTTGAGCTCCTGTATCTTGCAATGAAAGGCTCATGAACAGCCCGTCCCTGGTGCCTGGGCTCTACTCCATCCATCCTATTAGACATCTCCGTTCCTACCCACCACTCCTCAAATGTTCCCAGTATCATGTGGGGAACTACTGTGTGCCTTTTTAGCTCCCAAGCATGGCCCAGCTGGCAGGACATGAGGAGTCAGCCCCAGCAGCAGCTCAGTCTCCTTGGCCTTCTGTACAACAAGCTTCAGTCCAAGAGGTGTTCACATTCCACCCTCAGCTCTACCCAGCTTCCTTTTCATAGGCTGCTGCCCCAAGCAGAGAATCGGGCTTCCAGGCAAGGAGCTATAAGTTAGGCCTGTGGTTGGCTTATTTTAAAGGAAGCAATCGTTTGTGCTTCCATTTATCAAAGCCCAGAGTGCACAAGCACAGATCCATATCCTTCTGAATCATCCACCACCTCTCAGGTTTGAGAACTGCCCTCTAACAAAGCTCTTTCTTCACGGTGATTTCAGACTGCAGGCTTCTACATTTCCCAGCACATTTATAAGATGGCCATGAAATCAATGAGAAGAAGTGAACAGAGAGCTGAGAGTACACTACTGCTGGTGCAAACCAGACCAATTGTTCAAGCAGTTGTCGCAAATGAGGTCATTAAGCCTCTGTATTTATCTCCCAAGACACAGGGATTCCCATGGTTTTATTTACTTAAAAGTGGAATGTCTGTGCTACCTGGTAGTGACATTTATCTTTTACATATATATGCTACCTCCCCATCTAAGAGAAAAAATCTCTGGAGTGCAGGAGTATTGGGTTCCCAGAATCTAGAACAGATTTTCAATTCCTTATGTGTGTAGGCGGCAGTCAGCAAATGTTGACAACTGAGGAGGATAATCAGAGAGAGCTTCTATTAGATATCTCAGTCTCTGGCAAAGGAATCTCGCTTCTGAAAGGCCCAGACCCAAAGAAGAGTCTCATATAAGAATGCATAAGAAGGAAACAGAAATCAACTTCTAGGAAACAGAACCCCATATTAGCAAGAAACTCCAAATTTGGGTTCCCCTCACACCCTGGTCTCTTTGGTAAATGCTGCAGGCTACAGCTTCCTTTTTATTTCTGGGCATATCTAGACCTACTGTTAGGAGGCCAGTCTACAGATTTTTCCTCCTAAAAATCAATCCAAGTGCCCTGCAAGGTTCTAGGATAAATAAATATGCAGGCCATGGTTGAAATTTCAGAGACTCAAGTTTTAACTTTTATAATGCTAATGGAGCCATCTAATTTTCATAAGAATTGTTACTGAGTCTTCCTTTTACCCAAGGGTATTAACTGAGGGTTCTGGAGTCCATGGATTGAAAGTCATGAGTTTCCTTCCTTGAGGAAGAATGCACAATTCTGGTTTTGTGTACATTTCTATGGGGAAAATACCACAACCTTTGTTAGTTTCTGAAAAGGGTTTATGATACCCAAATAGAACGAGAATTACTGTTTAAATCTGTTTACTGTTTGAATAGTATAATGTTTACTTGGTCATGACTCCAGTAAAATACTACATGAAGAACAACAGAAAGACTACATCACATTTTTCCATAATAGCAGATAAAAGAATACATAGGTTCTTGATACCCTTTAGACTTGGGCATGGCTTCTGTCATGAAAATTTTTACTAGATGCTATTTCCTAGTCCAGATGGCAGTAATGGTTGGATGCTTAAAGCAGTCCATGTTCATATTGGTCATTGTAGTAGCTGGCTGGGGAGGTCAAAGCAGAGATTGGCAAACCTCAGTCGGGCAGGGCTTGGTACAATTTCTGATCACTCATATTTGCTAGATGTGCTAGAATCCATACCCTGAGCGTTCTCAGAATAGCAAGTAGGCTGGCTTATGTCGCCACTTCAATTTTGATTGTGTGACAGACTACAGTCTCCATGAAATATTTTGACATTGCCTTCTTTTCCCTCCTATAACATTGTATAACAAATGTAATGGTGAGCTTTAACACACTTTAACTTTTCCTTCTTGCTTGAGAACATTGCTGCAAATCTGTTTCATAAATATGAATATTGGCTATACATGGAAATATAAAATTTAGATTTTATGTCTGAGAAAATATACAGGAAAATATGAACAAATTAAATCCCCTTTACCATGCTTTAGATCTGTTCAACGGAAAGTCTTCCTAATTAACCCATGATTATGTTAACAAACAATACACATTTTTAAATGTACACCTCCTTATAGAACCCTCTCCAAAGTTTTTCATTTTTTTCCCACCCTAACTTCAGGAAAGAAGTTTAAATCTCCTGAAAATGTATTTTTTTATAATTTACAGTTGTAACATCTGGATCACTGAGCTTTATCTAATTTTCATCTCTACCTAGGCTCGGAAATGTGCTGTCTAGGAGAAATCTCTCCCCTGAGCACTGATAATGAGACATCAGATTGCATTTCTTGCCTTCATTTACTTTCCAATAGTACTCAATAAAAAAGCAATGAAATGGCATGTTTTTCCAGGGGGAAAGACACTTTCATCCTCTAGGTATTTCTATTTTTGTCGACATTTTTAAAATGTCATATCCTAATAAGGAAAACATAGCTCCAACCTACTTCCCTATCTCTTTACAAGACAACTTTGTGAGTACAATGTGGTTCCACACATAGAAGCAAAGGAAAGCTATTCCCAGACCAAGGACATGAAGTCTCCTGAAGATGGTTCTTCCCTTCAAGGCTGAGCATCTGGGTTCTCAAAATTGCTTCAGTCCTTGCTAAAGTCCAAAATCTCCCCAAGATCTGCAAGGTTCTGCATAATCTGGTCCCTGCCACTAATCCCAGACCCATCTCCCCCAACACACACACACCTTCCCTCTTAATCACCAAATCCCCACTGCCCAGGCAATCTTCCTCTAAGTGCTTCCTGCTGTGGTTCCTTCTGCCCAGAACTGTCTGCCACATCCCTGCCTTCCCTCCACCCTGAAGAAATCTGACCAACTCCTATTAGTTATTTTCATTCGATCCTAAATGCTTCTTCAGGGAAACCTGATCTGATCCTCCCTCTCTCAAGATTGGGTTGGGACTTCTTATCATACAATTCATTCCTACAATTCTCTGTACTCCTCTGATTCAGTTATCACAATTGTAATTGGTAACAATTTGCATATTTTTTAATGTAATGGATGTTTCTTCTATAAGATCGTAAGCTCTATGTGAGCAGGAACTGTCTTATTATCAAGGTATTAACAAGATACTATGTCTACCACAACATAGATATTTCATAAATATTTGAGGAAGGGAGAAAGAGAAAGATGGTTACTAAAATCGTTGGTACTTAATTGGAAGGAGATCTTCCAGCTACACATACATATTTGGGGTTGGTTTATTATATAGAACATTTTAACTGAATATTCTCCCCATTCCAAGACATCTGGAAAACAGCTACAAGACAATACTCATGAGCAGATGTAGGGGATCGATCAAGGTGGTGGGAGTAATTATAAAGATAAAGTTATAGGAAATAGACACGAACCTTCTTGGAAGGCCAGGAGGTTTGCATAGCTTCAGTAAAAGATTTGGCTGAAGGCAGCTGAATTCTCTTAAAAGCTTGGGGTATAGATACACAGGAATGTAGAGGAGTTTATCTAAATAGCTTACTCATGTGGTCCTAAGACCAACAACCTGTGATCATCTGTGGGCACATGACTGCTCTCTACTAGGGAGGTCGGCAACGTTAATCACCCTTTAGTGGTGTTTACTGGAGACCTTTGTCATTTAATCTGTCCTAAATAAATGTGAACTTCACCAGCTTATTGGGGCCAAAGCTGCGGACTCAGACAGCAGAGCCCCTTAGCTGCACTGAGAGGCAAAATACCTGTGTCAGTGTATGTCTTTCATCCATCGCTGGGTCAGGGTCTGTGGGTTGGACCCGGCAAGCAGACCTAGCAGCTTTTCAATATTGAAGAAAGCCACCTATAACATAGCAGTTAGACTCTTGAGTTTTGGAGCCAGTTCTGAGCTCTGCTGTTTACCAGCTTTGTGACCTTGAGAAATGTCCTCATTTTTTCTAAGCCTCCACTGATTTATCTATAAAATGAGGCTAAGAATTCCCACTGCTTTACTGTTGTCACAAAGATTAAATGAAGTAATGTCTGCAAATCAATTAAGACAGCAACTGACGTAAGACTAAGATTTCCATGCTGGTATTATTATTATTAAGAAACATTAGAAGTTGTGCCAAATTCAGAAGACATTATCTCACACCTTGCTTTCTCCTTGTTAAAGGAATATACCCCAAATGGACATCTTTACAAAACAACTAGATGTTCAGAAAAGAATTTGTTTTCCTGTCCAAAGATCATAACTCCTAGACTAAATATGGAATGTATAGCATTATTTTTCAGAGGAGTTTAACAACATGATTTGAAGTCATGATACATGTATAGAACTCACAAGAAGAAAGATCTGAAAATATTCACTTATGAGGTCTCAAAACTGAGCCTGCAAATAAACAAACTAACCCACTCTCATTCACTGGAAACTTTTCTTCAACTAATGGTGGCACCTTCCTCTAGCCTTCTCTCCAAAACAATGGAAAGACCTATCAGCAAGGCTGGTGATAAGGGACAGTCAGACTCAATCACAAATCATGGGTTTGGGTACCAAGCATGTATTTAGCACTGGCGTGGTGATGTGGCCTCACTAATGGTGAAGCAGTGGGTAGCCTGGAAATTATGGCCTTGGTAGCAATCAGATGTCTGTCAATATCTAGCTTTGCCACTTACTAACTATGGACAAAACCAGGACTGCCGAAAAGTTACTTAGCCTCTCTAAGAATTTCCCATACATAAAATGCAACTAACACTATCTCTTTGTCAAAACTGCTGTGAGGTTTAAGTGAGACAATGTACATAATCTATAAATGTTTCTTTGAGATGCTGTACATAGAATGCCTAAGAGATAGATATATTTCGTTTATTTCCCCTAAAACTATGCCTTTCAGGGGACAAGAAAGCAGAATGACAGAAATAAGATGAGGCTATAGAATATAGAAAATGAAAAATTATAGGACTTTTAACGTATAACATATGTCTAATAATAATATCAATAACAAAAATAATGATGGTGATTTAGTAGGGTGCCTGGTAAGGAATAATTTTTTTTTAAGTAGAACTGTCATTTAAAAGTTGCTAGTTACTTGGGATTATATTTTCCTAAACTGGGTTCCTCAGGCACAACCTACTTCAGGCAGCCTATTCTGTAGTGTTTAAAGGCACAGACTCTGGTGACATAGACCTGGGTCCATCATACAGATGTATAACTTTGGGCAAGTCAGTTAATCTCCTGTGGTTCAGTTTCCTCATTTGTAAAATGCAGAAGACATCAACCTAAGTGTTGCAGTAAATAAATCAGTTAATATATATACAACACTTAGAATAGTGCCTTATACATAATAAATGTTACATATGTTTAGCTATTATTAATATTAGTTATGAAGTGTCATTTTAAAATGGCACTGGGTAAGAAGCTCCACATGTTGGTTGGCCTCAGGCCAGAGGCGAGATGGCACAACTGAGCAGAGAGAGGCCAGCTCAGGGTAGGCTGGGGAGGAACTCATCAGCAAGTCAGACCTCACCTAATGCAGCTTTAGAAGATAGACTGCGGGCCGGGCATATTGACTCATGCCTGTAATCCCAGTACTTTGGGAGGCTGAGGTGGGTGGATCACTTGAGGTCAGGAGTTCGAGACCAACCTGGCCAACATGGTGAAACCCCATCTTTACTAAAAATATAAAAAGTAGCCAGGTGTGATGGCAGGCACCTGTAGTTCCAGCCACTTGGGAGACTGAGGCAGGAGAATCGCTTGAACCCAGGAGGTGGAGGTTGCAGTGAGCCGAGATTGTGCCACTGCACTCTAGCCTGGGCGACAGAGCAAGACTCTCTCTCTCAAAAAAAAAATGCACATTGTGATTTAACAAAAGCTAATTCAAAGACAGGGTAGTAAAGAGCAAGCCCTACCACAATAGATAACACAATAAATATTTTCATGTACACGTATGCAAAACCAGCTCACACAACAAATTTCTGGTACCAAATACAAATGAAATTATCTGAAACTCACATCAGATATATGCTCCTAGAAAAAGAATAGATTTTAAAATATGAAATGGGCATTTGTAAATACACCATTCAGGATATAATCCAGATATAATTAAGAGGATGAAGAAAGTAATAAAATAGTGTAAGAAATGTTTTTCAAATAGAGCCACTGCGAGACATTAGCATGGCAACATTAACAGAAAATAAGACATTACACTAGGCAGCCACCCACGACATAGGAAGGCTCTGCTGTCTCAGATCCATTTGTTCCTAATTCAGTTATTCACCAGCTCTCATTTTGAGGTGATCTCAAAAAATGAGATTCTTGTGATTATGAGAATATATTTTTATGATCCTAAAAGTATTTCTCTTCCTCAAATTAGAAAAAAAAAATGAACTATATCAATAGAGAAACTCACCAAAATGCATCCCTATTTTTTACCTGTAAGGATCATTTTGTGAGAGTTAAGTCAGGCCATGCTTGAAAACACTAATGATTGATATTAGTTATTGTGACATCTGGGGTTGAAAGGATTAAGGGACTAATTCAATGAGTGCTCTTCCATGGTGGCTGTAAGTATGATACACACTTACAGGAGAATGATTATTCTACTGAAGAAAAGGCATTCCTTATATATTATAGATTTTACATATGTTATAATTAATTACAAAACATTATATATATTTTTATATATGGCACTCCATATATAGCTATATAGATAGATAGATAGATATAAAATATTTTAAATTCAAAGTAAGATTATTCATTTCCTTTGTAGAACACATACCATAGTGGTTTACTAACCACAAATGCCGTCTTCCAATTGTTTTATAATTTTCTCTTTTGCTGAACTAGTTTTCGTACATCTATTCAGACTAGATAAACTAAAGCCATTTGTAAAAATTATTTCATCATTTAAATGTAATACTATTACTTTATTACTATTAAAGTGGATGATTAAATTTAGAAGTGGAAGAATATTGGCATTCTTCTGGTTATCTTTGACTCCAGTGAAAAATATGATATGCATGAAAGAGTAGGCATGTGCATAAACCATGCCTGGTAAAGGTATCCTCTCTGTGTGTGCATACGTGTGTATAAGGCATATGTCAAAGCAACACAAAATGTCACAAACATCATAGGAGTCAATTATTTAAATTTTGCCATGAAAAAATATATTATAAAAGCTACTAATAAAAAAATTGCCTGATTGTCCTTTCTTTATTTTCCCTGCTCACTTTCCAAGCAAAGAAAGAAAACTGACATTATAGCTGAAAGGTAAGCCAGAGGGCAGAGAAGGAAGAGCCAAGACCTAAATAATATACCACCTGGATAGTCCCACAACACAGTTCCATAGGCTAATCATCCAAGTTATCCAAGTCATCCAAGTTATACAAAGTTATCCAAGTCATCCAAGTTATACAAAGATCCTCTCATGGCAAATTCCATATTGTTCTTCCTCATTCCTGGCAAATGCTCAGCAGGAAAAAGTTGAAGTCAAGGAAAGTGAAAATGTCAGATAAATAATAGGTATAAATACACTCTAAAATGCTCTATCTTCCTTGAAAAGCCCAGAGGCAGAGAGCATGAGGCCTGAGAAATTCTGCCAACTGCAGGTCTCCCTCCCATCTCTGACTATTCCCTTCTGTCTTATTCTGCTGATTCCCACAGAGAAAGCAAGGAAATCACAAAAGCACCAGCCTGAGTGTAGAACATTTTGCTGCATAGTGGGCCAAAGGGAGCAGAGAGAGGCTGAGGGGATGACCCAAATGGTCAAGTTTTTTTTCCACTTGAAATGCTATTGAGTTGAACTGGTGTGTATACAAGGTCAGACAGGACTGGGCAAAGTCACAATCACAGCCAAACCCCATTACTGTTCCTCACCTGAAGCTTTCTTTAGAAGTAGAGGAAAACAAAGAAGAAAAGAGAAGGTGCAGCCCACGTCTGCTCTCAGCTAGAGACAGCGTGGTCCCTGCTGATTTGGGGGTTTGGCCCCACAGGGCGCAGGAGGCAACTGTTCTGTGGTGACCCAGAGCTTGTCTCTAAAATCTCTTCCAATCCCAAAAGATATTTTGGAAAACATCTGGAGTCCCAGTGTGGTGTGGTGAAAATACTATTCAAAAGCAACTATCAAAATAGCGAAATTATTCTTGTATCAAAATCAATTTTACATTTCAATATAAGAACAGGAATGGATAGAATATCATTTCTATTTTGAGAGAATATCTATTGGCAGTTTTCAGAAATGGACCATTTGCCATGCACAGATCAGCCTTGCACAGGAGAGAGGATGCATATTTTAACATGTTTGCAGCACACTACCTTGATTAAGAATGAAAATTTCCAACAGAGCCCTTGGATCCCAACCTCCTTCATTATAACTATTTCTCCAAATATGTAGCCACCCTGGCATCAAGCACCATAAAGATTCAGCTAACAGGTATATGTAGGAGGTTTTCTTGTTTTGCCTGATTTTTTAAACTAACATGTTTTATTTACCCTTTCTTTTGCTCTATTAACACTCACTACTTTCAGTGCCTGACACTGCACAAAAAAGAGAACCATTTTATTCTGAAGAACTCAAATAACTTCAAGAATAGGAGCTATTAGAGTACATAGGTGACAATCTGACACTTAGGAGCCTGGCACCCTCAGCCATTCTGCAGAAATGCAAACCCAAAACTCAACCCCTACCCAGGGGGAAAAAAGATGTTTCAATAAAAGCATCTCTGAACAGAACTAGGAAAAATCAAAAACATAAGAAAAGGGGAAAATACGCTGTGATGAACTCTTTTTACTCCCCCTTCCCTGGACATTCAGCCAATCCCCTGATCCCGCAAATCTTTCCATCTTTCTGTCACCAAGGTCAGAGCACAGCCCAGCTGCAAGCTCTCACTGAGACTACTGTGGCCTCCACATGTTCTCCTGTTTCCACATCAGCTTCGCCCTCCTAAGGCTCAGGTTGACCCAGTCACTACCCTGCTCAATTGCCTCCAGGGTTGGAGAGTACACGTCTCAGCCCTCATATCTGGCCACACCTTCACTCTCACCTTCATTCTCACTACCCCTCTGCCCACACCCTAGCTTTCAGTCCCGCTACTGACTTCCCATTTTTTGCATACACAGGACACTTATTTGCCTTTGTGCTTAGGCAACAGTCTTTCAATATCTCCCTATGTCCAAATCCTAATCACACTTCAAAACTAGGAAGTGGCCGCCAGACAGAACACCCTCAAACTGTTACCACCAAGCCTACAGACCTCCCTGCATCCACGTCCACACTGTCTCCTTCCATCTGCAATGGAAAAGGGGTGCTTCTTCTGGCTAAAGGCTAAGGGAGACCTCCCTCCCATGGCCTGTGGGACCCACCCCAACCCATGTACTTAGGAACCTTCTCCCATCAATTATCCCCCTTTCTCCTTTATCTTTGACCTCTCCCTCTCCATAGGCTCTGCCCCATCAACTCACTCAAGGTATCTCCATTTATAAAAACCTTCCCATGAACCATTTCCAACACTTTCTCCTTCTCCAATTACTGCTTTCTTTTTTTCTTTTTTTGAGACGAAGTCTTGCTCTGTCGCCCAGGCTGGAGTGCAGGGGTGTGATCTTGGCTCACTGCAAACTCTGCCTCCCGGGTTCATGCCATTCTCCTGCCTCAGACTCCTGAGTAGCTGGGACTACAGGCGCCCACCACCATGCCCGGCTAATTTTTTGCATTTTTAGTAGAGACGGGGTTTCATCATGTTAGCCAGGATGGTCTCGATCTCCTGACCTCGTGATCCGCCCGCCTCGGCCTCCCAAAGGCTACTGTTTTGTTTTATCATCTGTATAGAGCCAAATTGCTTGGCCACTCTCCCTGTCCCCACCTCCACAATTTCCACATACCCCCGCAACCACTGCAGCCTCACCTTCATCTCACCACTCATTTCTCCTGGCTGGTGAACTCATCCCATTAGTTTGTAAAATGTATTGACGCCTACATGTCATATTGATGCTTACATGTATTGCCCCAGACAACACATGCCTAGCACTTGCCCAGCACTTGGGGGAAGGGGAAGTGGGGAGAGGAGAAACCAGATATGACCTCTCTGAGTCAGAAGTTCTAACTGATAGCTAAATTCATGCCAGAGATATATTTTATTTAACCTATGATGCTTTTAAAAATATATTATTTATTTGACAAAAATTCAGGAATCTAAAGACTTCACACAAAAATCTGGGATTTGGCTTCTATTAAAGAATCTAGAAGCTCTGGCAACACGGTTTCTTTCCCAGGTGCCAGTATTCAGCTGAGAAGCAGCTGCTCCTTCCAGAGGGCAGGGGCTCCCTGGTCCACCATGGCCCCACCAAACCCTCTTGGCTCCTTGTCTTTACTTTGGTGGCCCCTGTGGGCATTGGAGTTTGGAGTTTGAAATCCCTGCTTTAGATCAGTGTTATCCAATAAAAATACAAGTATGAGACACATATGTAATTTTACTTGTAAAACTAACTTTAATATTATATTTAATTTAACCTAATATATCCAAAATGTTATCCCAACACGCAATCAATATAAAAAGTTTAATAATGGGATATTTCATATTCTTTTCTTTGTACAAGTCTTCAAAATTCAGTGTGCATGTATGCATTTTACACTTATAGCCCATCTCAATTCTAACTAGCCATGTTTCCAAAGTCCCATAGCAAAATGCGGGTAGCAGTTGCCACATGGAACAGCACATCTCTGGATGCTAAATGGTTGTTACAAGAATCAGATCTTGCAAGCAGAGAAAGTCGGGATGAGAGAGAATATTAAGGAGAAAGAAGAAAGCTGGCAGGACTAAGAAAGTGGGTGTGGATGTTAAAGAATAGGCATGTGAGATGTTTAAAAATAGGAGGGAAAGGGACAAGGACACAGAGACAATGAACCATGCTCAGTGAAAAAATCTGCTCTAGTCTAGTCCTCCATGGGAGAAAAACGTCCTTTATAAGCAAATGCAGTTGATGGGCAATGCAGACTTTCTGGAGGGAGGATTTGGGGTTTTTTAACTAAGCTCAGCATTAGACAGGAGGGGTCAATGTAAATATCACTTGGCCACTTGTGTGAACTCCACTTCACACACTTGGTATTTAAGAGGCAACAGAATGAACCAGGCTAGTGAGGACAGGATTCTTGGTCAATATTGGGATTTTTTTTTTTTTTTTTTTTTTTTTTGATCGAGTTTCACTCTTGTCGCCCAGGCTGGAATGCAGTGGCGCTATCTCAGCTCATTGCAACCTCTGCATCCTGGGTTCAAGCGATTCTCCTGTCTCAGCCTCCCGACTAGCTGGGATTATAGGTACCTACTCAACACCCAGCTAATTTTTGTATTTTTAGTAGAGATGGGGTTTCACCATATTGGCCAGGCTGGTCTTGAACTCCTGACCTCAGGTGATCCGCTGCCTCGGCCTCCCAAAGTGCTGGGATTACAGGCGTGAGCCACTGCGCCCAGCCAATATTGGGATTTTAATCTGAGTCATGGCTGGAAGTAAAGGGAAGATAAGAGACTTTCTTAGATAATGGGCTTGGGATGCAGAAGAAGTGCTAGGTACAAAAAACAGGTCAGGCCGGGCGCGGTGGCTCACGCCTGTAATCCCAGCACTTTGGGAGGCGGCTGAGGCAGGTGGATCACAAGGTCAGGAGACTGAGACCATCCTGGCTAACATGGTGAAACCCCGTCTCCACTAATAACACAAAAAATTAGCCGGGCATGGTGGCGGGCGCCTGCAGTCTCAGCTACTCGGGAGGCTGAGGCAGGAGAATGGCGTGAACCCAGGAGGCGGAGCTTGCAGTGAGCCCATATCGTGCCACTGCACTCCAGCCTGGGCCACAGAGGGAGACTCGGTCTCAAAAAACAAACAAACAAACAAACAAACAAAAAACAGGTCAAGGAGATGGGTCAAGGAGAAGTAGCAGTGAAGAAGGAAGGGAAGGAGAGTATCTTGAGCCAAGATCCAGGCAGAATTCAAGACTCAGAGGCATAGCTAAGTGAGGATGTATAGGCAGGAATCAGAAATCCAGATGTGTGGGTGCAATGTCAGAGGCCAGAAAGGAGACTTGGGTGCGAAAAATGGATACCCAGAGTCAGAGTCCAATACCAAGAACTACATCCCTGACCCGGAGACCTCAGAAGTAGGATGTTTTTCCATCCTCCATGGGAGCACAATATGGCAGCCACTTAGTAGGTACCACATCCTCCCCTCACCAGGCTTTAATTCTGCTTCTTGTCTGCCCAAGAACCAGAATTAAAGTCTAGGCTGGCAAAAGCCAAGCTACCAGCTGGTGGAAGAGGGGAACATCAAATATATCTGCCAGGCTTAAAAGGACTTGGAATTGAGAAGGCAATAATATCATTTCACAAACATAAAGCGATTTTGAAGCTTTTCCAGAGGTCTTATCTCTGAACAGTTCTAGCCCACCCATTCATCCCTTCATTCATTCAGGCACCATTTATTGAGTAGTCTTCCCCTGAACTGTTTTACAATGCTGATTCACTAGGTCAATTGTACTAGGGATTGCCAAATTCCACTCCAGCAGAGCTGGCGAGGCAAGTGAAGGTGGTTCAGGCTTAAGCAAAATAAGTTCAGATTGTTAATGCTGAAGGGGCCTCTCTAAATGAACCCAGTGGGATTAGGAGGATACAAAGATCCTAAGATGTCCAGAGGTCCACTTGTCTATATTTGTTGTAATTTTCCAAATTGGCTAGGACCCAAGAGAACAGGAAATAAGGCTGGTATAAAATATCTCGAAAAGACTTCACTGAAGAGAAGAAAATTGTTCTCTCAAGAAGGCAGTAAGCAGGACTTTTAAATCTCATTATATTACAAATACAGTTTTCCATATTGCAATACAATCTCATTATGTTACAAATACAGTTTTCCATATTGTAGTATGGAATATTGTATTTGGAATACAATATTCCATACTACAGTTAAATACAAATATTTGGAGACTTTAGGGACATTGCAGCCTGATATTCTGCCAGAAAAAAAAAAAAAAGTTTCTAATGGTAAGAAACTGCTACATATTAGAGGGGAAAATGTATTTGGATAAAATATTGAATTGTTAGGGATAAACTTCTCACCTCTGATTCATAAAAAGCACTGTGAGTTAGAAGAAAAGGTTGATGGTGAAGAGCAAATTAAAATGGCACATAAAGTTAATGATGTAGAAAAAGGCTGTATCTTCAATGGTGCCGACAAATCAAAATTTACAAAAACTGTAAAGGCTATTTGTTAAGTGAACAAATGACTTGAGAAAAAGGTGCCTCTTCTTTGATTCAATAATTAGCTTTACAGAAAGGTAAGCATGTCATAAACAGGTATGGTTTATACTCTAGTTTTATAAAAACATGCACGTTTATATAAAGCAAGTTCTAGGATAATATCTACTTCGTTCACATTAAACAAACAAACAAACAAAGCCCAGTATGCAAATAATGACCCTCAGTTATCAAGAAATGGTCTTATTTAGAACGCTTGACTTACTGAGGCAGGGAAATATGTGATTTTTAGTAAGTTTTCCGGTAGCAAAAAGAAATTAAAGCAAAGAACTTTCTGTTTCAAAAAATTATTTTCAAGCCAGGCATGGTGGCTCATGCCTGTAATCCCAACACCTTGGGAGGCCGAGGTGAGCGGATCACCTGAGGTCGGGAGTTCGAGACGAGCCTAACCAACATGGAGACACCCCGTCTCTACTAAAAATACAAAATTAGCCAGGCGTGGTGGCACATGCCTGTAATCCGAGCTACTCGGGAGGCTGAGGTGGAAGAATTGCTTGAACCTGGGAAGCAGAGGTTGCGGTGAGCCAAGATTGCACCATTGCACTCCAGCCTGGGCAACAAGAGCAAAACTCCGTCTCAAAAAAAAAAAAAAAAATTATTTTCTGCTTACCTAATGCAGATGCCTGCTACGATATTATAAATAGATATAGACCAAGAAGAAAAAATATATATAACCTAACTTCTAAATCTGCAGATTTTGTCAATGCTTATAAAGTTATGTGGACATATTATTTATACTCCATTAACCAGGATTGGTAAATGATTTAATAAGCATTATGATCAAAGAAATCATATTACATGTTTCCTTTAGGTATCAAAAATATATTATTAACCTTTATTTTGTGAAATCATTTTCAAACAATGAGGTAAAAGAAAGAGGAAGAAGAATGTTCTATTTTTAAATGAATCTGCTAATCCCATTTTTTTCCCTCAACATAACATATTCATTCTTCATGATAATGCATACATACTTGCTAAAAATAATGTAAGATTTTTTCCATTGCTGTATAAAATTGTAATGTCACCAGTACTACCTTGATTTGTCACAGGCTACTTTTTCCAACACTGCAAGTAACATAGTTCATATCCTAAATTAAATAAGAAGGAATGGCAAAGCACCCTGTTAATTTTTTTCAACCACACACTTATTTGTAATAGCAGCAATTGCAAAACTTCAGTATACTTTCCAATAATAATAACAAGCACAGCAGCAATTGCTAATGTTTATTGAACACTTGCTATAGTTTAAGCCAATCTCTCATAACATCTACATGCTAACACTTCCATTTATGCAAGATTCATAGTTCAACTCAAATTTGCCAGACACTTATTATAGCAAGTAAAGGTTAAAGGGAAATATGTCATCCTCTTTACTCCCTTTCTTTGGAATAAGCTGATGATCCGAGCACTTTTCATGAATGCTATCACACATCAAACTCCACTTTCCACCCTGCTCCAAAATGTCCTAAGGTCTCATCTACCCTCTCTCACTTTCAATATGAAAGGGGTCATTTCTGAAGCTAGACCAGTATAAAGCTACTAACATTGTTTTAGGGGCTTGATTTTGATATTATTAGTTTTCTTCAGTGACTTTAGTCGTTTATAATAGGAATTATGTTTTTAAATCTGTGCCTTCTTTAAGATGGAGTTGTGTTCTTTGAAGTCATAGTAAAAACATCTGAAAAATTGCAAAAATCAACCCAAGTCATGTTTTTGAATCATTTTGTTAAATATGTGCTTTATTTAAAAGCTCAGCTAATAAAGCAAGATACACTTCATGTATAGACTTAATTGTAGAAAATTTTTTTTCCACTTTTTATCAGGGCTTACAGATATGTTGTAGGAATCTTATCCCAATGAATAGATTCCTCTTGCTATGTTTCAAAACATATCTAACATACACTGAATAATTTTCCTACTTCTTTTCAAAAATAGTTTATCCTTTGTGAAAGCAATTTTAACAAAATTTATTTAAAGAGAAAAAAATAAAAGTTCAGCATTCATAAACACTACATGCTTTTGTTAAAATACTAAAAAAATGCAACGTATTCATTCCTCACTCTTTATCTTAAAATACTGACTTTCTGATCCTAGCAAAACATAATTTTAGTAACTCGTCAAGGCAGAATACATAAAATTGGCATATTTTTGATATGCACACAAATTGAGAAAGCATCTTTTCCAACTGTGTTGCAGAAAATGAAATGCATCTGGTATGACAATATGGCCCAACACGTGAACCAGAATCAGTGGGAAGAAAGGGATATTTTTTTTTCCTTATTCTCAAAACAGAACATTTGAAATAATGCACATCCCCCAACAGCAAGGCATTATTAAGTCTGTTAATACATATTGCAAAGTGTGTTTGGCTAATGAAAACACAATAGCAAGAGGACCAGCAGGCACATGGAAAGTAGCCTGGTTTGTTCACTTTTACTCATATATACCCGTGACTCCCAAATCTCTTTCCCCAGCCGTCCAAACTGATTTTTTTTTCTTTGCTTTTGCTTAACATCTCCACCCACTGTCAGAGTACGTGCACATATGTTGTTGGGGCCTCGTGCTGGGCTAGGGAGGTGGAGACGTGGAGAGTGTGTTGGAGAACATGGCTTATGCCAGGATCAAGCAGAGAACAAGAGAAAAAATTAAACAATTTGCCTATTTTTGCAATACATTTTATTTCTGCCTTGAAAGAAAAGTCTTTTCATCTAGGCACTCTAAAGATGTATTAAATACTTTTATTGTGTTTCTTTCTTGAGTACTGTGCTTGTGAACTGTGAATAAAGCTGAAATCTGTATGTGCTACACACCCCTTTCCCATGCCCAGGTCACTTTGGAGATGAGCTGCTGAGAGAGTAAGGAAAGATCTCTGAGATATTCAGGAAGCTTGGAAGAGTGCTGCAAAGCTAAGCTGACTCCTGAGCAGCTGAATGCATCCCCTTCCAGGTTCCAATTCCATTTTTTCCTCTTTCCCATTCAGAGGTGAGCCGGGCTCCTTTGAGATGGGCAGAGAGGTATTTCCAGGACTGAGAAATCCTCTCTTTTACATTGGTCAGAGAGTGCTGCTGAAAGCCATTATTTGTGACTCATTACAGAGAAATCTCTCCACTTCCCAGAGAACAAGGCCCCATGAGCAGCAGACGCTAGGGACCAAAAATGGTATCTCTTTCTGGGACTGTGTCTGGCATTGGGCAAGTCCCTCAGGGTTTACCATTCTGTCTGCCTATATCCCATCTTTCTCTTATTTTTTGAAAGATATTTTAGCTTTTCTATTTCTCTTATGTCTATGTCGAAATGCTGATTCTCTATAATGAAAAGCTTCTTCAGAGTTATAGATCATGATAATCTCATTCGTGACAAAATATACATGCAACAATACATCACAGAACAAATTACAAATTATGATAGCTAATCCATCATAGAATTGATTGTATATAGGGATGGGGAAAAATCTCCAGAATATACGTAAACTTGCAAGGCTCTACTTTCATCAGTAAGACCAAAGACATCTAAAAAATGGAACAAGTTCTAAAAGTTGTCAAAGGTAGCTGTCATAATGGAAAAAGATTCTGGAGACTGACTTGAGTACAAAACTTCTCTCTGTCATCTACTAACTACGTGACCCTGGAAAGCTTATTTAACCTATGTGAGCATTGGTTTACGAATCTGTAAAGTGACAATCACATAGGTCTGCTGTGAGGGTTAAACTATGTAGGGCTATAAAATGCCCAGCATATGGTGAAGGCATACATAATAGTGTTAATTTAGTATCTTCTCCAGAATAAGTTTATATCTTTTGTATACAAAATTCATACTTACATAGTAGTGTTTTTTTTAATAAAGATTGACAGTTTCTGAAAACTTTTTGGCAAAAAGGAACATAAAAAATTCAGAGTTATCTATTTTTGCTTTAAAAATATCTTGGTTCAGTGAACTGTAATGTGATTTAATAAGTTAACATTCACGGTAATATGATATATACCTTTCAAAATAATTCAATTATTATTTGTTATTCTATTATCCTTGATAGTGAAAGAAAAAAATGTAAAGTTCCCCAACTCTGAAATTCTTCTACATTAGGATTATGTACACGCTCAAAAATAAATACTTCCTTTAATATATAGTATTCATCTATACTGAATTTAAAACATTCTTCTAAAACCATTTATCACTTTACTTTTAAAACCAAAAACAGGGGCTCTATCCAGTTCACTTTCAAGATGACAGGAAAGGTAAATGTATTTGGTCTTTTTGTCACTATTATCTCTACTTACTCTTCTGAGAATAAAATATTTTTCTGGATCATCAGGTGTTTGCTTACAGCAAGCAATTTTGTTTATTAAGGAACAAAACATATTCATATTCTGCTTTACTTTCTGGAGCTACACTAAGAAATCAGTCCATGAACTATAAAAACTTCCAACTGAAAGCCTATCTATTCCCGTATCTTACCCTTCAAACACAGCCTGTTTCTTTGTAGCTGAGCTTTTAATCTACTAATAACTAAAGTTTTAATGCAAGTGTCATTCATCTAACATAATTAATCAGAGTCAAAACAATGAGAAAGTGTAAGTAAACTAAGATATATTGGGAGAAAAATGTTCTTTAGGTCTCTGGCAGAGTGAAACTTCCAAAATATTTTCTAGAATTAAAATGATTTGATAAACATTTACAAAAAGAGCAGTGCCTCTTCGAAATTGAGGGAGTAAAAACGGCTATTCAGTGGGACACATTGTGGGTCCCACACATAAAATTTCTAGTAAAAGCACTTTTACAAACCTTGACTCTTGTCTGAGCAATCAACATGATGTATAAAGCAGCATACTTTAAAAAGCAAGTGCTTCAGGTGACTATTAAAACTTCACAAGGCTCATAGGAACATATGCATTTGACTAACTGGGAGGAGACGCTCCCGCTGTCCACTTGAAGGGCGGTGATCCAATTGCAGCAGGAAGGTTTAAGAAAGGGGTGCCGGATGCAGGCCTGAGATGATGCTTTCCCTGGCACAGGACCTCACATGTGCCATAATTTACCTCTCCACGTTTCTATTTCTTCCCGCCAGCCATTTGCTTCCAATGGTACCTCTCCACACCACCACACGTGATCGTAATTGTTTTTAAGTTATTGGGTTAGTTTTTTCTTTTGCCAAGATGAGATTTGGCTGGACATCTCCTTTCAGGAGAACTCTAAAAAGTACCCACTTTAGGTCTAACTTTTCATTGACTACTCAGAAAGCTTCTGGTGACAGGTATCATTTCTACCAAAAGTAAAGTCCGGGTGCAAGTCAGAACTCTTTCATCTTTGCTAAACCAGAGCGAGATGTTTTCTTTCGACTGTTTCATCTACTTAGAATTAATAGCATTTCTCCTCCCGCCTCCCGGCCCCCGCCCCCCGCTCCCCGGGTGGTGAACGCCTGAAGAGGGAGGCGTGGTCCCGCGCACCTTGTCTCCGGCCGCGCCACCGGCACTCACCTGGCTGCTGCCGTGCTCCTCGCCCGTCTCCGGGGCCCGAGACTCCGCGGGACTCCGCGCCGGCTCTGCGGGAGGAGGCGGCGGCTCCAGCAGCTGCTCCAGGCAGGCGGTGCCCGGCAGAGAGGAGCTCTTCTGGTGGCACAAGTGCGCCCCGGGGCCCTGACGCCGTGCACCCTCATCTCGGGCGCGGTCCCCCCTCGGGGGAGGCTGGGGCGAGGAGGACAGGGAGGATGAGGCGGAGGAAGAGGAAGGAGCTGAGTCGGGGGAGCGTCCGCCAGGAGGCGTCCCTCCCGCTGCTCCCGAGGCCGCCGCGGGCCCCTTTACGGCGGGGAGCAAATGCTCGCGGATCCGGCGGCGTAGCGTGGACCCCTGCTCGGCTCTGCCGGCGCCGCCGGGCTCCAGGGGCTCCGGCGACGAGCAGCACAGGTTGGGCTGCGAGGAGGAGAAGACTCGGTCCAGCACTTGCTTCCGCTTCTTGAAGCCGCTCCACCTGCTGCCTGCACCACTCCCCCTGGCCGGTGCATTCCCTGTGCCCACCGGGGGTGGCGGGGAGGGCGACGGGGTGTCCGCAGTGCGGCGCTCTGGACCCCCAGCGCGCCCGCCCCCGCCGCCCTTGCTCCTGCCCACCCCCAGCTGCAGGTTCTTCCAGAGCCGGGCCTGGAAGGAGGAGGACGCCGCCGGCGGCTCTGGCTCGCCCGCCGCGGCAGCCCGGGGCTCCATCCTCCACCCCCTGCTCCTCCTCTCCCCTCCTCCTCCTCCTCCTCCTCCTGCTTCTCCTCCCTCTTCGGCTGCACCTCCTCCCGGGTCCCCGCGGCGCTGGCGGTGGCGGCGGCGGCGGCGGCGGGCGCAGCAGCAGAAACCGGGAGTGCCCAGCGACTTCAGGCCAGCTCGGGGGAAAGAAGCGGCCGCCGCCGCCGAGGCTCTCTGGCCTCGGGACTCCGGCGCTGCCTCTTCCTCCCGCACCTGCTGGGGTGGGCTGGAGCCGTAACCGAATCCCGGCCGCGGCGCCTGCAAAGTTTTTCCCTCGAAGCTCCGCGGCTCCAGTCCACTGGCGTCCCCCAGGCCGCGCCCTGGCTCCCTCTTCTCTCTGACCGAGCTCGGGAAGCTGCACGCACCGGGGCGTGCGCGTCCAGCTGCGCCAGGGACCGCACCCGGCGCCCTCTGGGCAGCACCTGTCAGCGGCGGGGGCGGCTGCCTCCAAATTGGGCGCGCACGCGGCTCACACAACAAGGCGCGTCTGGCTGGAGACTCCGGGGACCAGCAGTCCCCCTGGGGCGCCCCGGGACCATCCTCCAGCTCCTAGGTGGGAGGGCCGGTAGGAGCCGGGTGGAGCTAGGTAGGGCCCGAAGCCAGCTTGCTCCCTAGGATCCGGCCACAGTTGCCCAGGCAGCTCGCTGTGCGCTGGCCGCTGGCCGCGCTGGCGATCGTCTGGGTCGGATGAAGCGAGCTGGAGTGGAAACTATGTGCCCTCGATGGGTCTCGTGGGGGCGCCGATCGTCCACACTGAGCGATGAACCCGACGGAGTTCTAAAGCTGAAGACGTCTGCCCCCGCCCCGTTGCGCTCCCTGGGTCCAAGACGAGAGTTTAATTTCTTCTGTCTTGACTTCATCCCCATCCACCCCTCCCTTTTCTTTATTTGCCTCTGCACTGGTCTCTTATGATCAGGTTCTAGCATTTCCGGAGTCTGACGATAAAGCCAGCCCTTAAGTTGCAGGGAGTTTACGGTGGACGAAGATGGGTGATGCGCACTGCCTTTGATCCGATTCGGCACGCACAGAATCTTGTTCTTTTCATTCAAGCGCATTTTTTCTTTGGTTACTTCATTTGCTTGTTGCAAGGCAAACGGAAAAGGCTTTTTAGCTCATTCAGACTTTGCTTCTCCCAAAGCTGCTCAGCCAGGGTCTTCTGATTCTGCTAGGAGAGACTTCTGAAAGGCCAGCAACACAATGCCTCTTTCGTCCTCCTAAATGGGGAAAACGGGAGAGTTCCCTAAGCTGCGGTAGCACACTGATCAGTCTTGTCTAGCTAGCAGTATGCTTTGGAGGTGTTACCAACCTAAGTTTTTTGTTTTGTTTTGTTTTTGTTACCTTTATAACAAATATTTATTAAGCACCTACTATATACCAGGCACTGTGATAGGCTCTGGGGATGCAGCTGTGAACAGGGCATCAGGGTCCCACCCACATGGAGCTTATTGTGAGGGTGAGGGTTGGGAGGTGATGCGAGACAATAAACAGAATTTCTAATATGCAAAAGTCCCATGGAAACAGTTAAGCAGGGTACCACATAACAGAGTGGCTACAGAGGAAGAGCTTCCAGACAAAATGCAGGACACCCAATTAAACTGACTTTCAGAGAAACAATGAATAATATTAGTATATGTATGTCCCAAATATTGCATGGGACATACTTATACTAAAATACTATTATTTATCTGAAATTTAAATTTAACTGGGTGTCATGTTTTTGTTTGCTAAATCTGGCAGCCCCATATGGAGAGGTTTTTGGTTTTTTACATTATGTGTACAGGGAGAGTCTCTCTGAGAAGATAAAATTTTGAGTTAAGACTTAATGAGGACAGAGAACCAGCTATTGACGGATCTGACTGTAGAATTTCAGGTAGAAGGAACAGCAGATACAGAGGTCCTGAGGCAGGAAGCAGCTTGACTGGGCATATTCAAGGACAGAACGATACCACTCCAAATAGAGTAGAGCAAGGTGGGTGGGGTTGGTAAGAGATGTAGTGAAACAAAAGGTCAGCTAAGGGAGTGGGTCCTATAGCCAGAGTGAGAGTCCATGTTTCCTCTAAATGAAATTGGGAGACATTAGAGGTCTTTTTTAATCGTGAGGGTAATGTGATGTGATTTACTAATACTAATGCCAGGTATTAATAAATAGCCTCACAGGGCTATTTTGAAGATTAAGTGGAAAAAGGACTTAGCTCAGTGCCTGTATATAGTTGATATTATTGTTATTTGGTAGACCCAGTATTTCCCAAGTATATGAATACTATGCTTTGGAAAAAGAGCAACGTGAATGGAGAAACACTGGGCTGCATTTAAATAATATTATTGAAATGACAAGATTATAGAGATGGATAGTGGTTGCCAGGGGTTAGCGGTGGGGCAAATGTAAAGGATCAGAATAAAGAAGTTTATTTGTTATGATGAGACAAATTTAGATTGTGGTGGTGGTTACATGAATGTGTGTTATACACAGGATAGGACTGCATAGAACTACATACATATATGAATGCACATAAAAACGTGACATCTGAATAAGATAAGTTGTACCAATGGCAATTTCCTGGGTCTTAATATTGAACTATAGTTATGTATGATAATATCATTGGGGGAAATTGGGTGAAGGTCACACAGGAGCTCTATGTAGTATGTTTGCAACTTCCTGTGAGTCCATAATTATTTTAAAATTTAAAGTATAAATAAAAGCAAACAATAATAAAGCATGTTTTTTTGAAAAAATTGTGTGCTGCTGAAAGTTTTCCTTTGGAACCTTAATAATTAGAGAATGAAACAGTCTTAGAGCTACGATGGCCTACCCTTTCTTTGTAGCTCTGTTCTGGCCAACCCCACCTAATTCCTGAGGAAGCCTCTGAGAAGCAAATGAGGGAAAAGTCAGGACTGGTGAGGCAGAGTCCACATTAGGGCAAGCTCACAACTGCAAAGGTAAACACAGAGGCTGTGAAGCACTCTCCACACAGAATAAGAAAAGCCAACCACATTTGCCTTTATGGAGGTACCTCCCCACCGGGTGAAAGCAGAAGGGTTGGCATTTTTCACTGGCTTTTCCTTCCTCTTCACTCCAGTTTCCTTTCTCTGTATTTTATTTCTGTGTTAGTCCTTACTTTTCAAAGTTTCAGGTAAACCTTTTAAAGTTTCAGTTAAAACTCTTCAGCTAAATTATAAATATCATAGCTAAGTCTAACTGTGTAAGCTGGTGGTGGCTTAAGTGTTAACTCTCTCTGGAGTATTTATGAGCTTTATATATGGGAGCTTTATAAAACTGAAAATCTCCATCAAAATAAGTAGAAACCTTCATTAAGGACTTGGCCATTCAAGGTAGTGTTAGTCTTACAAAGCGAGCTACACACCAACTTCAGAGGCTTTCGCTCCAAACCTGCATCAATCCCTTATTAAATCAATATGGAGATCATTTTCAAAAGCCCAAGGCAAACTGTCTTTTCTACACCAATCAAGCTGAAAGCACCAAGACCACAAAAAACTACCTGAATATAAAGCTGCTCTGAAAGCACAAAAAGAAACTGGACTACCCAGAAATCTTATTCTCTAGAGAGAACAAGAGGAAAAATATTTTGTTTCTAGTTTGTTATAATTGTAGACTGGAGATAATGCTACACAATTCAACCTTAAATTCATTTAGTCTTCAATGCATTTAATTGACTTTTTAATATTATTTTTCTCTTCTACCTGTCTTAAAATACTCTGAGATATTGAGTTCTGAAATCTATAATCCCAAATAACACATCCATCATATGAATTCATTTACATATCTTGAAAAAGCATATGTAACTTTTCCTAAATATCTGAAGTGGATTATAAAATGAGACTGTCCTACAGATTGTATATCATATAAAGCTACACTAGATAAGGTCTCTTCTGTCAAATGTCTTATTATATTTAAGAGAAGATATTTATAAGAACCCTACAACACAAGCAGAAAGTGAATGGTACAAATTAATCACTGAGGAAGTGAAGAATTACTTCTGGCTTGACTAACCAAGGAGGACTTCTTGTTGGAGGCATCTGAGCTAAGATCTAGTGCAGGTGGCAGGGTATAACAAGAAGATGGATTGCCACCAGCAAGGAAAAGCAAAATTCATGCCATATACCAAGACTTTAATAAATGTTAGCTATTCTTTTTATTATTTTCATTAATACAATTTACTGTCTCGAATATTGATATTTATTGCTTAGATTAATATTAAATATGCTTCAAACATTGATATTCAGGAGGTTGAAGTGATGTATAAGCCACTTATACAATATTTATACAATGTATAATTATACAATGTATAATATTTGAGCAGAAACCCAAAGGAAGTGAGAGAAGCAGCCAAATAGTGAATCTGAAGAAACATTTTTCCAGGAACAGGAAACATGAAGTGCAAAGAGGCTGAGCAGGAACATTCTCAGCTTCAACAATGGCAAGGAGGGCAAAGTAGCTGAAAGAAAGAGAGCAAGAGGGGAATAAGAGGAGAAAATATTGCAGAGAAGCTCAGGGCCAGATGATACAGGATTCTGTAGGCGACAGTAAAGACTTTGGACTTGGCTAAAATGGAAAGCCATTAGAGGGCTTTGAGTAGAGTTTTTTAATAATCAAATTGCATTTTAAAAGGCTCATTGTGGCCTCTTTGTTGACAATAGAGTAGAGAGGTATGGATGAGAACAGAGTTTAGATAGGAGCCCATTCTGGGAACAGAGTTTGGATAGGAGCCGTACAAAAGGGACAATGATGGCTTCCACTCAGGTGGTAGGCAAGAAGTGGTGACCACAGTGACATTCTAGATACAGGACATTTTGAAGACAGAACTGACAGCTGGGCATGGTGGCTCTTGCCTGTAGTCCCAGCTACTTGAGAGGCTGAGGAGGGATGATCACTTGATCCCAGGAATTTGAGGCTGCAGTGACCTATGACTGTGTGACTGTACTCCACATGGGTGATAGAGCAAGACCCCGTCTCAGAAATAAACAAATACATAAAATTAAAGATAGAGCTGAGAGGATTTACCATAGTTTGGACATGGGGTACTCAAGTACTATGTTAAACTGTTTGCATTATTTATCATACATAGCTCTCATTGCAACCCCATTTCATAGATGAAGAAACCAACCCTGAGGCATATGAAGAGACTTGCAAGGTCACTCATTGAGTAATTAGCAGATCCAACAATAGAAGCCAGGTCCATGGGCTTCCAAAGCCACATGGCTTCTTTAATTTTAAAATATATGCATAAATAGAATAAATAATGGAAAGAAGCCTCAAAAGATGAACTGATCCATGCCCTTGCCCTAGGTGAGCAATAAGATGACCTTGGACAGAACCAAAACTTACACTCAATGAGATCAAGGATGTAAATGCAAGCACGAAAACAACATTTCTGGAACTAATTGAGTTAAAGGCCAATTAAACGGCACTTCAGGAGCCCCACTGTCAGTGCAGTCTTGGCTGCTGTCCCAGCTCCCAGCACTAGGTCAGATATCTTCAGGCCCTCATGTTCTCTCCCAGTCTCTGAAATGGGATAATAATATTTGTCCACCTGACCCATCTCACAAGGACCCAATTCAAAGACAAATGTAAGCAGCATTTTTAATGAGTAAAGCCTGTCCAAAAGAGTGGCATTATCATCACTTTGTAACCAAAAACAAGAAAAGCTACCAGACTGATTCGTTCCATCTTACATGGAAAAACCCTGCCTGTGGGGAATGAAGCATTTTGAACCATTCAAAACCAAGAACTCAGTCATCACAATTCACCATATTGAGTTGACTGCTAACTATACGATTAACTCAAGAGAATGAATTCCTATTCTGGTTATAAACTAGTTTTTGTCATTTCTTTCTTGAAAGATATCCCAGCAGAGCTCTCAAATTCAGTTGAATGTTTAAGTAACTTCAAAGGAGATATTTCTATTTATTCTGTTTAACCTAAGCCATATCACATTTTCTTTTAAATCAAAGTGTTTTTTGAAATTCTTGAGTTCTAGTTCTATGTAGGAGAGGCATAAGAGCGTTCATGTGGCCAGAAGGAGAGAGGGAGGGGACTTGAAACTATATTTGCATTAAAAAACACTTTTTTTGGTAATCAATTGTCCATGTCAAAGAAGAGAGAAAGGAGTTAAGTGGAGATCAGAAGACAGCAAACGTTTCTTCCAACTCAAGCCTTGATGCCAATTCTGTGCTGGAAAAGTCAGAAGGCATGGGTGTTTGCCTTGGTTTTGCACCCAAGTGCTCTGTAACTACAGGAAGCTTTTGGGGCCTCAGTTTCTTGTTAGGAAAATAAAGAAATAGAACTAGTTACCCTCTAAGGTCTTTTTCAGCTTAAAAATTGTGTAAACCTCTGAAGCAATTCTCCAATATATGATATAATCCATCTACTCATTCCTGATCTGACTTTCTACTTTCGATGGTGTACAAAAAGGCCACTAGCACTAGATGGTCATCTAATAATCCCCTTTGAATGTACACCATGTAGCAGAAGCCGTCAGGGCCCCCTACTTTTATCTCTTAGGCCCCAGAACTCCAGTATGAGTATCTGCATCTTTCTTCCTCAGGGCTGGCTTCATACTGCACCCTTTCCCCCAAGTGCCTGGAACAGCTTTCAACCAATGAGTGATGGCATTGATGAGAGTTGAGGTATCTCTAGCTCCCTCCTGCCCAGTGAGGGACCAGGCGTGATAAGAAAGAGGAAAGGATTCTGTATTTCCCCCAGGTCCAGCACCTCCTGGTCACTGGCTTGGTAACATGCCCTCTATCAGCTTCCTTTCCTTCCCTCTCCCACTTGCTCCACTCCACTAAAGCTGGTCTCTGCGATTCCCAAATAAATTGCTTGGCATTTGAGTCCTTGTCAATAAATCAGCTTCTGAGGGAATCCAAACTAAGACACATTAAAATGGACATTTTAATTCCTAGCTAGTGAGGTTCCCAACTTCACCACTCTATGAGAATAAAGTAGTGTTCTCCAGCAAAAGTCCTTTGAATCATACAATGCCTTTACAGGGAATTATAAAGACAAAGTTTATCTGAGCCTATAATCTATTCCTTAAAAGTGAGGCCCCTTGAGAGCCAGAGTATTAATCTATGATTTACTTCCTTGATGTAGTCCACTGACTTCCTAGAATACACAATAGGGTAGACTCCTCAGCATCCATTATACCCTGGAAAGTTAGTCTCCACTGATCATGGCCATTCTATCCTTTTTGTCAGATATGTGACCAATCAGGAAACTATTAACTGGAGGGTATATTAATCGGGACTGGGTCCCCCCGTGAGTAACACATAAACCTTAAACATGTTAAAGAAGTCTGAAGGTCATTGCCCAGACCTTGTGTGGTATTCCTTCTGTTTTGTTGACCCACCACACATTCCCAAAGTCACCTCATGCTCCAAGATTGTCAGTGGAGCTCCAGCCAACCAGCAAAAATGAAGAAAAAGCAAAGAAGAGAGTGACCCTTTCTTTACAGTTACTCTGCAAGTCTTCTTGTATCTCAGGGCTTAGAACTCAGGCACATGGCCATTCCTACCCATGATTTCAAAATTAACTGAAACAACATCTTTATCCTGGGCAGTCATGTGTCCAGCCAAGAAATGGGGCTTTTTGAGGAAGAAAGGGAAGATGAATATTGGGGGATAAGAAGCAACTCAGACACAGAAGTGTAGTCATTTGACGGAGTTCTTCACTCATAAAGAAGAGGCACAAAAGAGATGATCTCTTTTCCTTATCTACATGTTTGGTGCAATGCCTCGAACTACTGCAGCCATCTTGTTAGAAATCTGAGGATGAAGCAAACACCACAGTTCGCAGAGAAGAGAGATGAAAACAACAGCAATTCTTGATGATGTCATTGTGCTACAGAATTAATCCACCCTGAGGCTTTCCTGAACTCAGATCCTATTATGTACTTATTAATTATTAATTAGAAAGTTACTTTATCTAGCTTTTTAGTAAATTTCTGTTGACTTTATATTAGTTTTCTATTGCTGTTAAAACAAATGGTCGCAAACTTAGCTGCTTAAAACAACCCCCAGGGCAGTGAAACTACTCTGTTTGATACTATAATGGTGGATGCATGTCATTATACATTTGTCTAAACCCATAGAATGTGCAACACAAAGAGTAAACCCCAATGTAAACTAGGGACTCTGGGTGATAGTGATGTGTCAGTATAGATTCATCAATTGTAACAAATGTACTACTGTGGTTGGCAATGTTGATAACTGGGGAGGCAATGCATGTGTGGAGGCAGGAGGTATATAGGAAATCTCTGTATCTTCTGCTTAATTTTGCTGTGAACCTAAAACTGCTCTAAAATATAATGTCCAACTTAAAAAAAATGTATTCTCTCACAGTGTCTGTGGGTCAGAAGTCAGAAGTCTGGGCACAGTGTGGCTCTGCTGGTTCCTTGACTTCAGGTCTCACGAGACTGAAATCCAAGTGTTGGCAGGGCTGTGTTCCTTCTTGGAGGCTCTCGAGACAAATCTGCTTCCAGCCTTGTTCAGATTATTGGCCAAATTGTTCTACACCCTTTTAGGATTTAATCTCTATTTCCTTGCTCCATACTTCATTTCTAGAGACTGCCCGCATTTCTTGGCTCGTGGCTTCCTCATCTTCAAAGCCAACAATTGCAGATGGAGTCCTTCTCACACTTCAAATCTCTCAGGCCTCCCCACCTGCCTCTTGTCTCTTACTGGTTCTACTGCCTTCTTCTAGTTAGGGTTCATGGAATTATATTGGGCCCACCTAGATAATCCAGGACAGTGTCTTTATACTGAGTTCAATTGATTAGGAAACAGTTATATCCACAATGTCCCTTCACAGCTTTCTTTATACTAGCATTTGATTCACTAGAGGACAGAAATATTTAGGGGACAGCTTTAGAAATCTGCTTACCATAAGTTTCTTAGAGCCCAAAACATCCTGATGAACACATCCTCATTGAGACTAAGAGAAAGGCTATATCTGCCTAGGTTGCCTCATTCACAATGGGGTATTGAACTTAAAGGAACTGGCTCAGTGTTGCAAGTAACAGAATTAATACAAACCAATATTAATAAATAATAAGGACACTGGGAAACTGGCCCAAATAATAGGGGAGACCTTTCTTCTTTGCTGTGTTATTTTGCAAAATCTGGCCATTTTGCTGCTTAAAATCATACTACTCCTTCATTTTCTCCTAACCTGATGCTTTCTGACCAGATTGCAATGGGTTTTTTTGTTTACTTCAAATCCAATCCCCTAATTTACACATTTTTTTCTCTAAGAGGGATAAAACTAGTTAATACATATTTTAAATACATATGTTATTGATTTCAAACCAGTGCCTAAAAATGTAGCTGCCTTCTAGCAAACCCTACTTTAAAAATACTTGCCTAGAAAATACAAGAGAAAATGGAAAGAAAGAGTAGCAAAATGTGTACAAGAGAAAATGGAAAGAAAGAGTAGCAAAATGTGTACAAATATTCTTGGAAAAATAGAATGAAGTGCAAATGTCTTTTCTGCAGAAAATTACCTTTGATAAAATGTTATTGGCTAAAAAGTTTTCTCGGATCCTGATTAGCCTGTAAGTCCATCTCCCAGGTTTATTCTCAATCTCAACTTCTGCCTTCATCCACAGTTAAATCTCTAAATTCTGGCCATGAGGGTATGTAGACATTACAGATACTGTTTTCCACTTTTGATAGATAGAGCAACTAGGAAACCAAGGCATGAGGGGACTTGGACCATATGAAGTTAGTGGTGGGACCAGTGAGGTATTTACAGGTAGCACCATCTTTTAGGGGACCTTAGGCTTAAGCCATCCTTACTCCCCACCACTCTCAGTGTTTGCAGATCTGTTTTTCATTCAATTCTACAATTCGGCAGATTGGATCCAACAGTGATTTAAACGCTCCAAGACAGAGAATTGCTAGTCTCTGTGAGGCTATATCAGATGATAGCCTGAACTCCAAAGACATTAGGTCTGGAATTTTACATCCTTGGCTCTGGCTAGACAGAGCATATGGGCACTCTGCACTTTTCTCTCAGCATTTGGTTAAGAAACTAATTTTAGGCAATAAAGTTGCTGCTATAAACAAACAAAATTGTACTCGCCATTTATGGGGACTGTTATCTATAAATAAGACCTCTGAGCATTAATGATATTGGATATATGGCAAGACCTGTGGGGACAGTTTCATATTGCAATAGCAGTGTCTTGGGATAAAAAATCAGTCCTGCTAATTTTTGTGCAGATGTGCAAAAAAATATTTAGCTCCTTTAGGTTATCTGTCGCTAATCTGGTTTTCCTTGAGAGTAACCCCACTCAACCAGAGGTTAGCAGAGAAAAATTAACAAAATATCCAACCCAATTTTAACAACAATTAAGATTTAATCATTTAGAAAGTCTCTTTAGGAAATGCCTAGTATCTTCTTGGGACTGTAAACCAAAAATAAAATTCTAAGCTCCCCAACCAACTGAATGGATCCCTCTTGCTGGCTAAGGGCATTTCAAAGTTAATCTGAAACACAAATTCAGGCCATGATGGAAATGGGTGGTCAGACATGCCTCATCATACCCTCTTCCCTTTGTAATTCAGAAACAATTGACCAGCATTAACATTAAAACAGAGACCTTAAGACCATCTATTTTCTCTGAAGCCTGTTACCTGGAGGCTTCACCTGCATAATAAAAATCTTGGTCTCCATGACCCTTTATCTTTTTTTTTCTTTTTTCTTTTTTTTTGAGACAGAGTCTCACTCTTTTGCCCAGGTTGGAGTGCAGTGGTGCCATATCTGCTCACTGCAACATCTGCCTCCCAGGTTCAGGCAATTATCGTGCCTTAGCCTCCCGAGTAGCTGGGACCACAGGTGTGCACCATCATGCCCAGCTAATTTTTGTATTTTTAGTAGAATCAGAGTTTCACTATGTTGGCCAGGCTGGTCTAAAACTCCTGGCCTCAAGTGATCCACCTGCCCACCAAAGTGCTAGGATTACAGGTGAGAGCCACTGTACCCGGTCAACAACCCTTTATCTTAACCAAGACACTCCCTTCTATTGATTCCAGGTCTCTAGATAAACTCTTCCAATCAACTGCCAATCAGAAAATCTTTGAATCCACCTATGACCTGGAAAACCCCCCTTTCCAGACCAAACCAATGTACTTGTTATATGTATTGATTGATGTCTATGTCTGCCTAAAACATATAAAACTAAGCTGTAGCCCAACCACCTTGAGTACATGTTTTCAGGACCTGCTGAGGCCGTGTCATGGGCATGTCCTTAACCTTGGCAAAATAAACTTTTAAGTTGATTGAGACCTTTCTCAGATATTTTTGGTTTACAGGACAAAATGTTTGTCTCTCAGATAGCTTTCTCTTTCTAAGAAGGTATATGGATGGGTGGAGAAAGGACATGACTTTCATATCCTCATGGAAACAGGAAAGAGCCCGAGTCTGAGGAGGACAATGCCATTTGCCTCTGCTGGTCTGGAGGAGATGTCCCTTGTCCCTTGTCCACTCACCCAGTTTGACTGCTAACATTCATAGGCAAGTCTGCACTCACAGGATCTGGTCTCTCACCTTGATCAGAGCCCAGGGACTTCCAGATGATTCAGCCTTTCCTTGGCTCCAACTGTCTGTCACCCCAGACATCTGTCATTTGCCTTATTTTGCCCCTGCCCCCCATCAGGTACCTATAACTGAGCCTCTGCTGCAAGGCCACCCAGGCCTACTGGCTGTCAGTTCAGCATCCATAACACTAGAAATGAGGTAGGCTCAGGAAATCTAAACATCCAATGTCAGGGGCTCTTCCTGCCACCTACAGAGCACCACCTAGTTTTTGGTCATGTGGTTACATCCTAAATTGGTTTGTAACTGCTGTGTCCTGGTGGAACAGACAATTGGAATCCTTGCTCTTCTCTATCTCTATCCCTCCATGCTGTGCGCCCCTCATCCCCCATCCCTAACCTTCCCTCCATCCCCTAAGACTGTGCCTTAGTATCCAGACAGGATGGGTTTATCATTCAGGGCCACGGCAGGAAACATAAGACACATTGAAATAAGAAGATTTGATATGTTTAATTATTTTCAAAGGTATGACAAAGTTTAGAGCAGTAACTCTCAGAATGTCGTCTGGCGACCTGAGACTCTTTCAGGGATCTGCAAGGTGAAAACTATTTTTATAATAATACTAAGATGTCATTTGCCTTTTTTATTTTTAGTCTCTCATAAGTGTACAGGGGAGTTTTCCAGAGGCTACAGCACATGTAATATCACAAAAGATTGAATGCAGAAGCAGATATGAGAACCTAGCTGTCTTTTATAAACCAGACAGTAAAGTAAAATTATAAAACAATCCCAATCTTCTATTTTTTTGTTTTGAAAAATAGTCTTTGTAAAAAAAAAAAGTTATTCATGTTAACATGTAATGGTTTTATTATTGATATATCTAATGAACTAATACATAAATATTTTAAACTTCTCTTTATACTGCCTAGAGAGCCAGGGAAGACTAGAAATTGTTATAGTAGAAATAGAAAGAAAAATATCAGTTTACTTTTTAGCTGCTGATGTGCAAAATAGAATTACACACCAGAAAAATAGTTTTGCTTACCAGGCCACTTTTTAAGAAGATTTTATAGGCTTTTATTTTCTCTTTAATATGTCAACAACCGAGCCTAAAGGGCTCAGGGTATCTTCCATCTGCCCCTGGAAGATTTACTCCCCATCCTTGTCCAGACTCCTCTTGGCAGGGGTGGGAGATCTGCATGGACCTCATCAGCAGCTCCCTAACCCTCCAGTTTCAGGTTGGGATCTGTCAAAGAGGAGCATCCTTGTCTCAGAGCTGTCTGTCCTGGCAGATGTCCTCTCTCCAACAGAATCCTTTTACATTTAAAAACTATCGAAGATCCCAAAGTGCTTTTGTTTCTGTCGTATCTGTTGATATTTACTGTATTAGAAATTGATACTAAGAAAAGATGCCACTAGGGTAGAATAGGTTTATTACCTTAAAGATAGGGAAGACTTCTAATATTATGTAGGAAAAAAACTATTAAATGAAAGACTGGTAAGTGTAACTACACAAAATTTTAAATAATATACAACAAAGGGCACCATAAATGAATTTAAAGGTAAAAAACAAACAGTGAATAATATTTGCAAAATATATACCAGGCAGATTAAATACAGAAATTATAAAGAACTACTCAAATTGATAAGAAAAAGACAAATAACTCAACAGAAAATTAGGCAAAGGATATTAACAAGAAATTTGCAAAAGTGAAATCTCACCAGCAAAAAGAAAAAAATGAGAATTTAAACACCACTAAAATATAGTTTAAAAAAATTATTCACAGGGAGTAACAAGATATAAAGTACTTTGATTAGCATCAGCTGTTGGTATAGGGGTGAGAAATGGATGTCACGGTCATTACTTATGGAAGCGTGAGTTGTTCAGCCACTTAATAGGCCAATTTGGCAACATCTACTTAAATGCACATAATTTATGACTGCAATTCTACTGCTAGATATCTTTTCCATGTAACACTGCACAAACACTAGGAGATATGTATAAGGATTCTATTGCAGCATTGTTAGAAATAGCAGCAAGGGTTAATAATTACAAAAAGTGAAGGGAGAACTATGAATGCTCTTCAAGACAGAAATGTAACAAATTGGGATTTATTTACAAAATTCTATGTAGCAGTCAAAAAGAAAGGGATGGTTTGATATTTTTATATAAAAATGTTTACTAAAACATTGTTGAGCCAAAAAAAGCAAGCTACAAATTGATATTTACATTTTAATAGCCCACTGGTATTAATAAATACATAAATTTGCAAATGAGAAATTATTGGTACAATAAAAAATAATACACCAGAACACATTGAGATTCATCTCCACGGTGGCAAAATAGTTCGACATTAGGAAATTTATTAAAATAATATCCCCTATTAATTGCTCAAATTATATCCAGTAATACTCAGAAGACATGGAACAGATTCAACATTATTTCCTAATTTAAAATTTAAAATCTTCGTAGATAGAGATGGATAATTCCTTAACATGATATGATAATATATGTATAAGACCCCAAAGCCAGTAATATCCTTCATAGCAAAGCAATAAGAGAAGCAATCTTGTGCGTGTCAAGAACAAGACATATCATTAGGGAGACTAGATGTCAAATAAGGAAATGGCTACTTAAAAGTGTCTACATGAGTGAGCCAATGCATTTACATAAGAAAATGAAGTAAGATTTGTAAATGTTGGAAAGAACAGGAAAATTTTTCATGACTTATTGATGATATCATATGTACTTGAAAAACTCCAGAGAAAAAAATATAGAAACAATAAGAAAAGCCAGTAGGGGAGTCAGCAACAAAATTACAAAAGTCAGTCAATAGTTTATCAATAGCTTTCCTTCCTACAAATAAAAAGATTATAAAATAAAATAGAAAAAAAAACATTAAAAATAACCAAAAAATAAAAAACAAGTGAAAAAGGTTAAGATAAATCCAAGAGCTATATGAGGAAAGGTTTAAAACTCTATTGTGGGGCATGGAAAAAGACTCGAGTAAATGAAAAACGCCTGGATGGGGAGACTCAATATTGAATCAGCGCCATTTCTACTTGAATCCATTAAATCAATGTGATCCCAATCAAAATACTAGAAATTTTTAGAACTTTTTAAAATTTCAAAAATGTTTTAAACTTTAAAATTTGTGAAATTAAAAAAATTTTAAACCACTGGCTCTGTTTCTCTGGAAAACCATCACTAATTTAAAATTTATATACATACATAAAATATATACATAACCCATGTGTGTCTTTGAGGCATCTGGAAAAAAGCACACCAGCTTGTTGGTGGCTTCCTCTGATATGTGGCACAGAGGACTTCTCACATCACACTATTTTGAGCTGTCAGATTTTTATAACAACCATTTGTTGGCTTTATAAGAAAAACCTCTTAAAAACTGGGGGGATTTTTGGTTGTATTTTAAGATGATACAGAAAAGCTTTAACATTGCTAACATATAGAATGAATTTATTATACAGCACAATGTAGCAGGATAAACACAGGCTTGGCATTAGAAGGGCTGTGTCCAAATTCAGCTTTTACCCTTACTTACTCTCATTCATTCATGAAACCCATATTTACTGAGATACTAGTACCTCCGTGCCAACTCCTGGAATTCTAGCAGTGAATGAGACAGAACAGACACTTCCCTCATGAAGCAAATAATTCCATTTACTAGTGTATCACTTAACCTATCTAGATTGCAATTTCCCTATCTGAAAAATGGAAATAGCAAAGACCACCTCCCAGATTATTGTGAAAATCAAATGAGTTAACATGTGTGAAAGCACCAAGCTAGTACTCATCATATTATAAGCATATAATATATATTTGCTGAATGTGAAGTATGTACAGTCACAATTGACTTCACTACTCTGGGTTCTTGGTGAAAACTGAAAGACAACAAAACTACTTTTGTTTGAAAATAAATGATGGATAGATACCAATACTCATATACTCATTTCCCGAGGCGATATTGCTCCATTTTAAGAGTCAGCTAAGATAGAAATATTACTTTATTTGAGTGAATTTGTCAGTGATCCGGTGAGCAAAAGATAGTTTTGATATATCAAATTGGCATATGTCATCACAAGAAGAAAGCTTTTGAGATGTGATCAGATTTGCTCATTATTTGCCAGGTTCACATCGTGGAATTCCCAGCTTGAATCTATAAATGCAAAATGACAAAATTGGCATTCCATAATTTTGCTCAAATATTGACTAACCTGACTTTGATTTCAAAATATTTATTTTAAATGTATTCTAACAATCTTTATTTATGATATGATTGCAAATGATTTTGAAGCAATTATTTTTCATTGACTTGCTCAACTAAATCGACAGTGAAAAGAGATCAATAAGAATATGAAGGGAAAGAGAGAATAGCTAATATTTACGTTGACCTCATTGAGAACAGTAAAGTTAATTGCTTTTATATTAATACAACTCTTTTAAATTGACACATCATAATTGTACATATTAATCGGGTACACTGAGATGTTTATATACATATACTTTGTGTAATAACCAAATCACGGTATTTAGCATTTCCACCATCTCAAACATTCATGGTTTCTTTGTGGTGAGAACATTCAAAATCCTCTCTTCCAGCCATTATGAAATATAAAATATTGTTAACTATAATCACTCTTCTGCACAGCAGCACACCAGAATTTGTTCCTTCTAGCTAACTTAGACCCTGTACCTGTTAAACTAATCTTTTTCCATCTCCATTCCTCTCTCCCTTCCCCAGTTTCTGGTAATCACTATTCTACTCTCTACTTCTATGAGATCAGCTTTTTAAGATTCTGCATATGAGTGAAATCATGTGGTATTTGTCTTTCTGTGCCTGGCTCACTTCACTTGACATAATGTCCTCCAGTTTCATCAACGTTCCTGCTAATGACAAGATTTTCTTCTTTTTATGGCTGAATAGTATTCCATTGTCTATTGTCCACATTTTCTTTATCTATTCATCTGTTGATAGACACTTAATTGATCCCATAGCTTGGCTACTGTGAACAGTACTGCAATAAACAAGGGAGTTTATGGCAGATATCTCTGGCATACTGATTTCATTCCTTTTGTATACATACCCAGTAGTGGGATTACTGGATCGTATGATAGTTCTTTTTTTAATTTTTTGAGAAACTTTCTTACTGTTTTCCATCGTCATTGTACTAATTTGCATTCCCACCAACAGTGTATAAGAGTTCCCGTTTCTCCTCATCCTCACCAGCATTTGTTATATTTTGTCTTTTTGATGATAGCCTTTCTAACTGGAGTGAGGTGATAACTATTGCGGTTTTGATTTGCATCTCCCTAATGATTAGTGATACTGAGCATTTTTCATTTATCTGTTGGCCATTTGTATGTCTTCTTTTGAGACATGTTCATTCAGGACTTTGGCCCGTTTTTAAATTAGATTTTTTTTTTTTTTTTTTTTTTGCTATTGAGTTCCTTATATATTCTAAATAACTCCTTGTCAGATGTATTGTTTGCAAATATTTTCTCCTGTTCTGTAGGTTTCCTTTTCCTCTGTTTTTTGTTTTTTTTTTTTATTTTTTGCTGTGCAGAAGCTTTTTATCTTGATCAAATCCCCATTTGTCTATTTTTGCTTTTTGCCTGTGCTTTCAGATCCTTGTCCAGAAAAAAACTATCAATATAACTTGTATATGTAATGACTGAAAAACATTTCAGTTTGGAAACCAGGTGGTCAACTTGAATTAAAGGTAACCCTTCCATTTTACTGTAGTAGACGTGATAAAGAGGGATTGCATTTTTTTCAGCCAAGGCATTGTTTTTTAGCGTTTTTGGATTATTCTTGTGATTCGTTCTCTCTTGTAAGAATAAATCACAAGAATAATCCAAACTAAGTAAACAAACAACTAAGAAGATAAAAAGTAAAAAGAGTGACTTTTAAGGCAATAATTTCAACTTTCAAGCAAAAAAAATGCAACAAGAGGAACCAATAATTCAATTCAGCATACACATTCTGAGCACTTCAAAATGCAGAGAACTGTCCTAGGGGCTAAGCAGACATAGAAATGAATGAAACCTAATCTTTGCCCTCACAGAGTATACATTCTAGAAAGGAAGCTAAGACACATGCATAAATAAGTATTTAATAAAAAATGACATATGTTCTAAGGGCTAGAGGAGAAATAGCTGCTTCTTAACATGTCCAAATCTGACCTTCTGATCTTTCCCATCTAATCTATTTATCTGCAGCTTTCCCAACCTCAGTTGATGGCAACTCCATCCTTCTAGTTTCTCAGGCTAAGCATATTTAATACATAAGAAAATTACAATGGCTCTATCTTCAAAATACATTTAGAACCTGCCCAACTCTCATCAACTCTATTACTACCACTCTGGTCCAAGTCACTCTTATGTCTTGCCCAGATTACTGCAATAGCTTTTTCCTTCTTTTTTTCTTAAAGATGGGGTCTCATTCTGTTCACCCATGCTGGAGTGCAGTGATGTAATCATGGCTCACTGTAGCCTCCAACTCCTGGGCATACGCGATCCTTCCACCTCAGCCTCTCAGGTAGCTGGGACCACAGGTGCATGTCACCACATCTGGCTAATTAGAAAAAAATGGTGTTTTGTAGAGACGGGGTTCTTATCATGTTGCCCAGGCTGGTCTTGAACTCCTGGGCTCAAGCAATCCTCCTGCATCAGCCTCCCAAATTGCTGGGATTACAGGTGTGACTGACCACGCCAGCCTTACAATAGCTTTTGAATTGCTCTCTCCAGTTCTACTCTTATCACCCTGGAGCCTATTCTGAGCACAGTAACTAGAATGATCTTTTAAAGATGTAAAATACGTCATGTCATGCTTATGCCCAAAACTCCCAATAGCTACTTATTTCACATAGTGTAAAAGTCAAAGTCCTTATAAGGGCTGACAAGACCCTACATAATCTGACCTCTCATTTTTTCTCTGATTCTTCTCTACCACTACTCCTTGAATATACTAGGCCCACTTGTGCCTTAAGGTCTTTGCGATGGCCATTCCTCTATCTAAAATGCATTTCCTCAGGATATCTCCAGGCCCAATTCCTTTACAACCTTTAAGACTTTCACAAGTGTTTTCTTCTCAGCAAGGCCAACCATGACCACTCTATAGAAAACAGCAACTAGAACTCCCCTCCCATCACGACCTCTGCTAACTGCACTCTTGATCTTCTTCATCCTGTTCCTTTTCTTTTCCTTTTCATACTGTTTCTCACATAAAATCTAATTCTTACATTTTTTATGTTTATGGTTTCTTGTCTGCCTTCTGCCACTAAAAGTAAGTTCCAGCAATCCCGTTTCTGGGTATATATCCAAAGGAAATGAAACCAGAGTATCAAAGACATATCTGCACTCCTGTGTTCATTGTAGCATTATTCACAATTGTCAAGATATGAAATCAGCCTATGTGTTCATCAGTGGATCAATAGGTGAAGAAAATGCAGCATATATACACAATAGAATACTACTCAGTCTTTAAAATGAAGGAAATCACATCATTTGCAACAAAATGGATGACCCTAGAGGACAGGGTCAACTTAAAAGTTGAATTTATGGAAATAGAGTAGAATGGTAGTTACCAGGGGCTGATAGGGGCTGGAGGGTCTTGGAGTTTGGGAAGATATTGGTCAAAGGATACAAAACTTCAATTAGGAAGACTAAGTTCAAGAGATCTATTGTACGACATGGTGACTATAGTTAATAGCAATACATTGTATTGCTGAAAATCACTAAGAGAGTAGATATTAAGTGTTCTCACCACAAAAAATAGTATGTGAGTTAAAGCATATGTCAGTTAGCTCAATTTCCCATTTCACAATGTATATACATATTTCAAAACATCTCAATATACATAATAAATATATACAATTTTCATCAAGTAAAAGTAAATAAATAAATAAATAAATAAATAGTAAGGTTCATGTGAGTGGTAATTTTGTTGGGTAACTGATGTATCCCAAGCTCCTAGAACATTGCCTGGCACATAGAAGTTTCACCATAAATATTTGCTGAAAAAATTAGATGTTTAACAGATAGAAATTTAATTTAAGAAATATTTAATGAGTATATGTTATATTCAGGATTCTGAGTCAATCTGGAGCTAGAAGGAAAAGTTAAAGCTATATTTGAGAGCCATCAGAATAATCCTAATAGCTGAATATATATGTATGTATTGCCAGGGGGAAATCCATGAAGGCAAAAGAAGGCAATTACAGACAAAGCTTGGGTGTAGAAGGAAAATGAAAAAGGTTGATACAAAGGATTGTTGGAGAGCTCAGAATCACAAGCATGCCACTTCACAGAAAGGAAGGTTTTCAAGAAGAAAGGGGATGTTCAACAGTGTCAAATGCTGTAAAGAAAAGAGGAGGATAAGAACTGAGAAATGATAACTGGATTTGGTGATTACATTTCGAAAGCTACCATGACCTTCAATAGAATAATTATTAAAGCAATTATCTCATAAAAAGTTTTACAATGCCTGGTTATAAAAATAGTGTGATGGACTCAGGAAAAGATTTTATTTGCTAAGTGAGAATGCCAAACATGCGTAAGAAACATTTTATAGTATAAGCAATCTTTATTAAATATTAAGCAATAAAAAAATCTTAAAATATTTATACTTCATTGAAAATTCTTCATTTATTGGCCTCTTGAGTAGCAGTAAAAAGTAGAGGGCAGGCAGCATCTGTACTTGCAAAAACCTGAGTTTCAGGTTCTGCCACTTTCTAACTTATGACTTTGGGTAATGCACTTCAACTCCCTGAGTCTCAGTTTTCTCTTCTGTCAGATACAGGTTTAATAACATTTGCCTTATCTACCTCACAGGCTTATTGGGGAGAATAAATGAAATAATGTAAGAAGCGTAAACTACAAATCTCTTCATTCTAGGGTCAATATTACCTGGAGGCAGCATGCTGTGTTAAGAAAACCTAGTTCTTTCATTCAGCTATGGCTTGACCAGGGCATCAGGCATTCCACATACTCATTGTCTCATTTATTTTTTAAAAAATGTCAATACTCACCTTATCTCCTTTGATGGTCCTAGGGATCTAATGAGATGATGTATAAAAGTGGTTTGCAAACTGTAAAGTACTATACACTTACAAGGAGAAATCTGCAAATTCTCTGTCTTTCAGACGCTGGGGACAATGGTTCTGAAACCACAGTGGGCCAAAGAATCACCTGGGGAGCTTGGTAAAAATGCAGATACCAGAGACCCCTCCCCAGAAATTCTGTCAGTGGTCTGGAGAAGGGCCTGGGCATCTGTTTGGAACAACCACCCAAGGCGATTCTATTGCATGTGGTCTACAGGTCATAAGGCAGAGAGTGGTGAGACTGGGAGTGTTGCAAGAATATAAGGATAGAAAGGGGATAAAAGAAAATGGAGTCCTTTCCTCACTCCTGCAGATGGAGGTCTGGAAGTATGGGAAGGGATGGGCTTATTCTGAGTCCCTAGGCCTCACTTTTTTTTTTTTTTCAGGTATACTGGATACATGAAAATCATACATATTGAGCAGGTACAGACTGATGTTTTGATATATGCATGCATTGTGAAATGATGACTGCAATTGAGCTAATTAACACCTCTATCGCCTTCACAGTTGCTATTTTTTGTGTGTATGTGGTGAAAACACTTAAGATCTACCCTCTTAGCAAATTTCAAATATACAATATTTTGTTATTAACTATAGTCACCATGCTGTACATTAGGTTTTTTGAACTTATTCGTCTTGCATAAGTGGATCTTTGTACCCTTTGACCAACATCTCCCCAACATCCTCTCCCTCAAGGCCCCTGGGCCTCACTCACTCTTAACTCCTACTGGAGAAGGATGGTCTTTCCTCCAAACAGGAAAGTTCTAGAAGCTGTTTATTTATTTTCTAATAGTAAGAGTTTGGTTAGAAAGTAGGTAACTAATACCAAATAACTTTATGAGTTCAAAGTTGGAGAAGGTTTTGAACATTAATGAGCAAATTAATATAATGGAATATGGGATTGTTTTATACCAAAATGTTAGCCTCTCCCAGTCCTTGATGCCAAAATGACCAGGCATGAAAAGTGATAGTTGGTATGGAGGACAAGCAAATATTCCCTTTCTCCTGGGCATAAAAGTGATCTCTCTCCCAGGTCTCCTTCTGGTTACATCTTAGCCTTTGATTGATAGCATGGTAGGTATGTCAGTTCAAAAGGAGACAACCATCTTTGTTGATTTCACAGCTAAGAACTGACCTGGCAATAGTTGTTGTTTTAACCAGCACAAATCTCCTTTCTGCCCCTGAGGTATATCGTTTATTTAAGCACAGGACAGTACTTTTCCCTTAATATAAAATGGAACTATGTTATAGTTCTATATAGCAACACAAAGACAGTGTGGATGGGTGCTAAGATAAAAACAATTAATGAAACAAACCCATGTGGAATCAAAGTGTAAGTCCATATTGCACTGAATGAAGTATTTCTCCATGGTAAAAATTTCCAAATAATTTTCATCTTCTTTGAAATCTTTTCTCTCCTTATCGTAGATCATCAAGAAATTTCAAATACATTTCAGGGAAGATAAATAAGCTGTATCTTTCTCTCAGGAGTGTATAAATTCACTTTTAGACCTTCAAGTTCCCCAGTTTGATTTTACAAGCGTGTGATAATTTCCTTCTGAGAAAAAGTCCCAGGAATTTTATTGTACTTTTATCCTTCACTTCTTTTTGTCTGCAATTCTATTACACCACACATGTCCATGTTTTATAATTTGAAACAGGACCTTTCCTGTCTAAAGGAGCACATAGAAGCATTCTATTTTCCCTTGCCAAAGATCTATACCGAGTGGCTCTACTTTTTAGGTCATAATGGGAAAATGTTCAAGTATATGATTCAAAATAAAACATGATACACAATACTCTTAGTGGTGATGGTCATTCTTTTCACCAAATCTGTAAAATGCAGATGTGCTTTAACATGAGATGGAGGAAGATGGTTAAACAAATAACAATATATCAACCAGCCAAATGCAGCATTTTCATTAAAATTACAGAGATGGAAACTATGCTAATATTGTAAATGACATGTATACAAAATGATGTTCATAAAAGAACTGCAAAATATAATGTACATGCTGTTTAAATTAGTAATTAATTTATTTAAGCTCTACTTTCTTAAAAAAAATATTGACTACTTCAGTTAGACATGGTAGTTTGTGCCTATAGTCCCAGCTACTTGAGAGACTGAGGCAGGAGGATCACTTGAGATCAGGAGTTTGAGACCAGCCTGGGCAACATAGCATGACCCTTTCTCTAAAAAAATATAAATAAATTGGCCACTTTTTTCAGAAGGATATATAACATATAACAAGATAATGTAAATTAGGGAAAAAATTTAAAACAAAAAGAAATCAAGGATGGCTATGAAAAACTTTTATATTGATGCTGATAAAGATCAGATGTTAATTTAGCAAAACATAAAGTTTTATATTTTATTCGTTGTTTTCTTCTGTACAGTCAAGTGGATAATAAGGTATCTTCCAGCCATAGATCATGAAAATCACCAGCCAAAACAGCTCCATGAAGGAAATTATCTCTCTGAGACTGAAGACGTGCTCTGAACTCATAAGACCAGTGTTTCTGGGGCATATTAATTGGATATCAGAAGACTTAAGGGCGTTGGTGTAAGCATAATTCTTTGGGCTGTAGTCCCTTCTTTTGGCATGTAAATTCCATCAATCTAAATCAACAAACGAGAACCCACTATATATAAAACACAGTTCCCCATCTCCCTCTCAATTAAAAACAAAATGCCCTTAATCATGATTAGTGTCTGCTTCACACTTTGAGGATAATTATTGCCCCTTTGCTTTTCCCGATTCCAACAAAGCACAGCGCGTTTACAAGTAAGTTACAATTGCCCAAGCAAATAGCATTAAGTGCTAAATTTATCTGGATAATCTAAAACAACTAACGGAAAATAAATGCTCCCAGCTCTTAAGAGCTAGGATTCACAATACTTCAGCAAAGTATTTTAATCCAGTGAAAGTGCTTCAGAGAAGTGAGGCTAAAATATATATCACCACAATCTTGGCATTTATTCCGCACTAATTGCATTTTAGTCAAATTAAGTATGAGAAGAAAATGACTCAAAGCTTCTAATATATTCAACTGTCTACAAGATCACTAAGTTCCCTTAGGTTTGTTTCTTACCTTTAATAAATTAGTATCATTTTCCTTTTAAGAAGCCAGTTTGGCTTGTGGGAGGCCCAAGGAGACAGGACAAATGTCAGTGAGAAAGTTCAGCGTCTTCCAAATAAGTCTTTCTGACACCAGGAAAGCAACAAAGAAAGGATAGTGCCAGTGCCTGGGAGGTAAAGACAAGGACTTCAGGGAAGGAACCCAGCAGGAAAGAGAGGATGGGCAGGTGTGCTACTATCATAGTTATAGTATACTGGTTTTCGTCCACAGTTCCCGGTGCCTCATAACTCTCATAGCCCTCGTTATTTCCTAAGTGACTAAAACAGTAAGCATATCTTTTGTTGAAGTATTTAGCCTTCTGTCCTTGGCTCCTGAAGCAGCTTTAGAACAGCTTCAGAGAGATAAAGGCGGGAGGCAGTCTTTTGTTATAATGCTGGAGTGCATTAGACCTCAGAAGCGAGCCTCGGAAAACAGAAACCCTCTCTCTGACCTTCTCCTGCCCTCCTTTCGCCTGCTCCCTTTCTCCCCAAGGGAGGCCACAGACACTAAAGATACGGTTGAATCTTCCCCTGCCTTTCTGTCTTGGAGCTGGCCATAAACTATCTTTTCTGTTTGTAGGTCATAAGACCCCCATTTTGGAAAGGGTCCTGCCCTGTGCCCTGGAGAAAGGAATGCTGCAAAGAGAGGCCAAGAAGAATCTGAACAGAGAGGCCTTGCTGGGCTTCCCCACTCAGCCTATTAGATTAGATCAGACTCTTTTTGTCCAGTCACATTTCTGCATGGTCGTCCCTGCTTCACTCATGCCCATCCAGTGAAGTCTCCATAAAAGGCCCAAGACGACGAGGTAAGGAGAGCTTCCAGATAGCCGAACACATGGAAGTTCCTGGATGTTGGCACAACCGGGAAGGGCATGGAAGCTCTGCCCTGCATCTCTTCACCTATATCCTTTGTGGTATCCTTTATAATAAACCGGTAAACATAAGTGTTTTCCTGAGTTCCATGAGCCATTCTAGCAAATTAATTGAACCCCAAAAGGGGTTGAGGGAACCCCAATTTATAGCTGATCAGTCAGAAGCACAAGTAAAACAACCTGGGCTTGCAGTTGGCATTGGAAGTGCAGAGGGGAAGATTTTATGGGAATGAACCCTCAACCTATAGGATCTGACACTAGCTCCAGGTGGATAGCGTCACTGAGTTAAAATGGGTTGGAGGACATACAGCTGGTGTCTACTGCAGAATTGCTTGCTTGGTGTGTATGGGAAAACCCACACACATTTGGTTACAGATGTCTTTTGTGTTGATTGTTGTGGTAGGAGAGCAGAGGAAAAGCAGTTTGAGTTTTTTCCACACAGCGGGTATGAGCCACTTCAGCTGAGGTCAACTGGCCTCACTTAAGGTACCTGCCTGACAATATAATCTCCAGCTAGCATCCCTTGCAGTTCAGTACACCACAGTAGAAGTAATTCACTGATACTAATCTCACGCATCTCCTGGAATACCAACTTGTTGACCACTTATAGCTGCTTGAGTTCCCTGGACTTTGTAGATTGTAGACTACTGATTTTCTTTCCTTGTTTTTTGGGTGATTTTGTGTTTCCACTGACATCAGGGTTAATACTTGTCCTTTCCATGAAGTTTGAGATATAGTCTCCACTCTACTCAATATGAAAAATGCCTATAAGGGAACCATGCTTTAATTTCTACTCTTTTGTCTTAAAGGGCAAATCTAATTCAATATTTTCAAAAAAATTCTGTTAGACTTTAAGCTTCAGGAGGCCAGGGCACATGTGTGTTTTATTCACCACTGTATAGGAATCACTTAGCAAAGCGTTGATAGAACAATGGCTCAACATTTAGATTCTTGAGTCAGGCTGCCTAGTTGAAATTCCAAGTTTACTACTATGAGTTGTGTCATCTTTGGACAAGTTAGGGAAGCTCTCTGGGGCTCAGTTTCCTCATTAACAAAATAGGGATAATAATGATAATAGTAACTATCTCAAAGAATTGTTAGAAGGATTGAATGAGATAGTCCATGTAAAACATATATAACAATGCCTTTGATAAATATGTCATAAATGTTCAATATATATAATAAATACTCAATACACATTAGCCATTCACTAAGTATTTTAAATGATTTAAAACAGGATATTCAATCTTCTTTGTTGGAAATAAACTTGGTTGGTATTGCAGATCTATCTCAAAGCATACTAATTGATTTATTACATTTCCAAGTCTTCTTCAGATTGGTTTTTGGTATATATAATTCAATTCTCTGTTTATTTATCTTCATCAAACTGAAGAATACAAAACTTTGACATAGGCTACTCTTCCTTGGTTACTGTTTTGCTATTTTTATGATGGTTTCATAATATATGTCAGCAAGATAAAGTTTATATGATGATACTGATTCATAAGTTATCTTTATTTTGAATAATCTTCTATTACTTTGGGACTATTTCAAATATTTATCCTAAAAGCTACCTTTCTCCTCTTGAGTAAAATTAAATTCACATTTTAGGGTATTTTTAAAGCCATAAATATTACATCTTAGGGTTTTCTTTTCCTTTCCTTTTCAAGTTTATTCCAATGAGAAATGACCTTTCAATGGTGAGTGATGCCTTGAAGAGACAGTTTCTTGTCCTTTGACTTTTTCTTTACCGGAATGGATATTAGGGACTGATTTCTTTCTCCTACTGCTTGTAGCATCCTGGCCTCTTTTTTACTACTTGCTCATCTTTAAAAAATGTTTTTTGAGTTACTTCAACATTTGTAACTACAAGAACTAATCTTCACTATTTTCCCCTACATTTGATACAATTAAATGATTTTTATGAGAGAAATAAGAAATCTGTTTATATTGTTGCCAGTAACCTAGATCCTGAGAAATTCTTGGTTCTCCTGCCTTTTCACTATCTTTCTTCTTGTTATTACTCTTGTTTTCATATACTTCTCTATAATGTATTTTAAATAGAGAAATTATAGTTAAATTTAAATAAATTGTTATTCTTAATTTTTGGAAATAAAAACAATAGGAACAAAAGGAACTCTAGCAATCCAAGTTAGGAATAAAATTCCATTTATATCTTTGGGTGCCACAAACTTAGGATGTATCCCAGTTCTCTCTTGATCTCGCCAACACTGGGCATGTAAATCTCAACGCTTTTGGGTCTTGGTGATTGTTTTGTTTTCTATAAAAAGATGTTGAATAAATGAACTCTCAATTTCCTTGCAAATGCAAAATTTCAGTCTTCAAAATTCAGTCTTCAACTGAATATGTGCTATAAACATAACCAATTATATTGCTGTGGTATTTATAAGGAGTTATAAAAATAGCATAGAGTAATAAAATAGAATACACTTTAACTGGTGATCACTCTATTGAAAAATGTTAGTTGAAAAACGTACTTCCTTGAAAGAAACATTTCTCTCCCTTAATATTAAATAATTATTTAGATATACTTTGTTAGGTGGTTGATGTTTTAAGACTTAATAAAGTGTTAGCACTTTAATAATTATATTTTTCATCCATTAATGGGGATATAAATTTTATAATACTTTACATTTCAATCCAACACCTATATTTTCTCATAGAACTAAATAGAAAATGTTGCTATACAGAACTCCACACTTTAAGAAAATATTTGCAAACTAGGCATTTGATAAAATATTAATATCTAGAATCCATAAGGAACTTAAACAAATCAACAAGAAAAAATCAACCCCATTAAAAAGTGAGCAAGGAGCATGAAAAGACACTTCTCGAAAGAAGACATGTAAGTGTCCAAAAACATGAAAAAATGTTCCACATCATTAATTATCAGAGAAATGCAAATTAAAACCACAAGGAGATACCATTTCACACCAGTCAGAATGGCCATTATTAAAAAGTCAAACAATAACAGATGTTGGCAAGGACATGGAGAAAAGCGAAAGCTTATAGACTGTTGGTGGGAATGGAAACTAGCTCAACCCTTATGGAAAACGGAATGGAGATTTCACAAAGAACAAATGTTAAACATTCTATTTAATGTTAAGTAGAATGTTAATTCTATTTTTAGAACAAATAAATTCTAAAAATAGAATTAACATTAACCCAGTAATCCTACTACTGAGTATCTATCCAAAGGAAAATAAATGATTTTATCAAAAAGACCCGCACTTATATGTTTATCACAGCATTATTCATAATAGCAAAGTCATGGAATCAGCCTAAGTGATCATCAACAGTGGACTAGATAAGGAAGTGTGGTATATATACACCATGGAATACTACACAGCCACCAAAAAAGAATGAAATCATGTCCTTTGCAGCAACATGGTTGCAGCTAGAGGTCATTATCCTAAGTGAATTAATGCAGAAACAGAAAACCAAATACCACATGTTCTCTCTTATAAATGGGAACTAAACAATGAGTACTCATGGACATAAAGATAGAAAAAATAGATACTGGAGACTCCAAAAGCAGGGGAGGGAGGAAGTGGAGGAAGGATCGACAAACTTCCTGTTGGGTACTGTGTTCATGATTTGTGTGATAGGTTCACTGGAAGCCCAAACCCCAGCATCATCCGATATGCCCATATAACAAACCTGCACATGTACCCCCTGACCCTAAAATAAAATAATTCTTTTAAAAAAGGAACTTCGCACCTTAGCCATATTTTTGTCTTCGTCCTTGCTCTTGGTTCTTTGTTTTCTATTAGTGCGGAATGATGCCCTTGCACCATCTATTCCTACCTTTGGGGAAGAAAATACCAAAAGCGACAGCTCTCTTGAGGAACAGTTGCCCTTCCTCCCAGACCCAGCAGCAGGTGGAGAAAACCCAGAAATTCTGCTATTTGGCATCGCTATTGTTAAGTACAAAACCATCCTGCCTTCTCAAGAGCCTCCTTCCAGCAGCAGGTGGAGAAAACCCAGAAATTCTGCTATTTGGCATCGCTATTGTTAAGTACAAAACCATCCTGCCTTCTCAAGAGCCTCCTTGCAGCATTGACTATGAAATGGGCAGCCTTCCTTTCACCTGAAGTGGGAAGAGTTGCTCATTCATTTGAAAAAAAAAAAATTGACTAAAATAGGAATCCTGTTACTATAAAGGGAGATGTAAAAAATGTGTGTAAAGAAACTTATTCTATTGTTTCACTTGAACATGAAAGGCTACTGCACTACAGAGTATATTCTGTTAAAACAGTCACAGATTTTTTAAATTTTTACTAAAAATAAGTTTCTATATAATGGTGTTTCCACTTTTATCATTCCAAAAGAGGCTTCAGAAAAGTCTTCCCATATCTTTACCCATAAAAGCTGTCCCTCAATCTCCACTTTCAATGATTTATTCCCCATTTCTTGTTCTAAACCAGAATTGAGGTAACCATAAAATTGCTCCCCCACTCCTTTGGGGCATCCAGGTAAGAGTAATAGAAGAAATCATGTTGGGAGACCTGGGTTCTTATCTCATTTCTTGAAATAACCATCTGTGTGGCCATGGGCAAGTCACTTAACCCTTCTATGCCTCAGTTTCCACGTCTGTAAAGTGAAAGAATTGAACTTGATCCTCTCAAATTTCCACCCTTCTATCTATAAAAATTGCACTAAAATAAATAATTTTTAATAGCTAATTGAGTGAAACAACCCCATTTTAATCTAGTCTGTCTATTATTTTGATGTTAGGAAGTATGTATCTGATCAGATTTGAGGAGGAAATTAAAGATTGAAGGACTAAGACAAGAGAGTTAAGTGACTGCATTTATTTTCAAGAAAGTATGCCTATGTGGGGATCTGGAATTTACTGAGATGGGCAAGACGTTCTGATTATTAGCCCTTCTCTATCACTGACAACAGGTTTGAACACTGGGATACAGCATGGGTATCATGGTGGTTTCTAGGTCCTGTTCAGCAAAGGATAAGAATAGCCTAAAACCTGGCTTGTAGAAGAATGGTGAAAATCTACCTTTAGCCAAAGAACATTGGTTATAATTCTGGGCAAAAAAGTATGAAGACACTAAAACCTCATGATCTGTCATTATCAAGGCATGATGGGAAGGAATTTACCAAATAACTTAACTATTTCATTTAAATTCCAATATATCTCATGATTTTAACAATTTTGAGTATAATCTTTCTAACACTTCTAATAGAGTGACCATATAATTTATCAACCAAAAGGGAACACTTTCAAGACAGAACAGGGATGCTATTTATAATTGCCAGGGCAATGTATCTAAACCAGGACTGTCCCTGAAAACAAGATGGATGGTCACTCAACAGTAACTTTCCTGTGTTCTCAGATGGGCTATTCCATATGAAGTAACTTTTCCACTCTGATTCAAGTCACAAACACTCATTTCACCCTATTGAAATGCAGTGATGCTCCCAGATCTAGAAGATTTTATACCACTGGACCAGTGGCCCTCACACTGTAGTAGCCATCAGAATCACCTGAAGGACTTGTTAAAATGGATTGACGAGCCCCACTCTCAGAGTTCCTGATTCAGTAGGTATGGAATGGGGCCTGAGTATCTGTATTTCTAAATTGTGAAGTGATGCTGCTGCTGCTGCTGGTCCAGGGACCACACTTTGAGAAGCACTGCACTATACTTAGTGGTAATCGCAGATAGCTGTGCCTTTCTTTGTTCTTGTGTCGTGTTTTCTAGTTTTTGACCATTGGGTTCTAACTGCCTACTGCCCCACACTGCCACTCCATTTATCAGTGTATTTGTCCCTAACAGTCTTACTTTACTAATTTCTTTGATTCCTTGTAAAGGGTTTCTTCTAATTTCCTATTGACTGGGAAAAATAAATATCCAAGCTTATTAGAATTATCTTTAAAATAAATTATTAAGTAAGCTTATTCATTCACTCATTCATCTGTTTATTCAACCAACATGTATTGGAGTTTCCCTCTGAGCTGTCACATAAAGTAAAAGCTTGAGTTGTATCTATTTTGACTATTTACATGCCTTGCTTATTTATTTTCTGTCTCACAACTGGGCTGTAAAAAGGTATTTTTCCATATAAATATAAAATAAGTGAGAGATAACTGTAATAGTCACTTGGACAACATGTATTCTAAAATATATCTGTAAAATTAAATAAAGGATTACAATGACATTGCCTTAGAAACATTGCTATATAAGAGATATTTATTTATTAAGAAAATGAAGATGTGACATTAATTCATAGTATCCAACCCATATTTGTTATCAACCCTACTCTTAGGGAAATTATTAGTTATTCACACAATACTCACATCAGTCAAGTCATTGCCATCTTCTTGGACCATCCCCTTTATACAGCACAGTGTCAGTTCATATTTGACTGAGATGTAGGGATTTTACTAAAAATATGATGGAACAAACTCAGTGGCAAAGTGGGCCTTTCTCACAGAAAAGAAATGTAATTTCAGCTAATAAACCTACTTTCAGATCATCTGAAAAGTTTGTGGCTATTAAGTTATGACTATTTCTTCAGTTTTTCTTGATACTCCACTGAAAATTCCTTTGACAACAGGAAGTTGTTCTAATAAAAACTGACACTGGAGTGGTGATAAAAGGTCAATAATGCTTATACGCTGAGAGGGAAAAGATAGGCCCCACTGTTGGGTACACTCTGCCTGGGATATCAACACAGAGCATCTGAGACTAGTGCAGTTGAACTAGTGCTATGCTGTCAGCACAGTGCAGAGCAGTGAGCAACCAAAAAGGAGCTGGGCTTTGTAGTCAGGCACATCTGGGCCCCAAATCTTTGCTGTCACTCAATAATATCAAAAAGCCCCAAGACTCTCACTGTATTAGTCCGTTCTCATGCTGCTATAAGACATGCCTGAGACTGGTTTTTCTTTTATTTTTATTTTTATTATTTTATTTATTTATTTATTGAGACAGAGTCTTGCTCTGTCACCCAAGCTGGAGTGCAGTGGTGCGAGCTCAGCTCACTGCAACCTCTGCCTCCCGGGTTCAAGCAATTCTCATGCCCCAGCCTTCCAGGTAGCTGGGTCTACAGATGCGCACCACCACACCCAGCTAATTTTTTGTATTTTTAGTAGAGACAGGGTTTCATCATGTTGCCCAGGCTGGTCTCGAACTCCTGAGCTCAGGCAACCTGCCTGCTTTGGCCTCCCAAAGTGCTAGGATTTTAGGTGTGAGCCACCACGCCTGGCCAGAGACTAGGTAATTTTTAAAGGAAAGAGGTTTAATTAACTCATGATTCCACAGGACTGGGGAGGCCTCAGGAAACTTACAATCGTGGCTAAAGGGGAAGCAAACATGCCCTTCTTCACATGGCAGCAGCAAGGAGAAGTACGGGGCAAAAGTGGGAAAAGCCCCTTATAAAACCATCAGATCTCCTGAGAACTCACTCACCAGAACAGGATGGGGGGACTCACCACCATGATTCAATTATCTCTATCTGGCACCTCCCATGACACATGGGGATTATGGGAACTACAATTCAATATCAGATTTGGGTGAGAACACAGCCAAACCATATCACTCACTTTCTGGGTTTATCCTTTCTTTCATAATCTAAATGAAATGACTCACGTGCTGAGAGAAGTCCAGCTCCTCCTCAATATTTCTGAGGATTCTAGGAGAAGGGACATACATTTTTCCATTTCTCCTTCCTCTAAATTCTTGCTCCCAGACTGACGCTCAATCACTACTCATATCTTCTCTGAAGTAACTGCTGTTCTTTCTCTTCTTCCCTTTACCCCAAACATGGGCCACAACCAAAGTGCTAACAACACAAGACTCTCAAATGTAACAAGGTTTGACTAAGTTTTGACTACAACTAAGAGTAATCCCACACAGTGCAGAAACCAGCTTTGAATTGAACACAGCTTCCACTGTCCCTAGAAATACACAGATAATTTGCAATCAAAGGAGGGTCTTTTTCTTCCTCAGGCTCTGACTTGCCACCAGGTGGCCAGCCTACTCTGCCTGTAAAAGACTCTCCATTCTATTCCTTCCTCAGTCTTCCAGAAATCCTGTCCTCTACTCAAGTCGCCAGCGGACAACCTAAATGTTTCTTTTACTTTATTATGCACAGCAATTTAGTTTCTCAGACTCCATCCTTCACTGGTAGTTGGTTCCTTTACACAACCAAAAATAGGATTTCCTCTCATGAAATTGATTTATATTGCTGTCTTGGAATGTTAATGCAGTGACTGTGGTCATCCTTTTGAGTAATATTTAATCTTTCCGATGACAATAGCCATGTGTATACAAGCCAATGGATTTATCTGAGCCTTGGTTTCCTCACCTACCTCACATGGTTGTTTTAAAGAGTAAATGTAAAAGCCCGCATGATGCTTGCTACATGGTAGCTGCTGATATTAACCACAAGAAATTTCTACTGGAAAGGGAATTAACACGAGCACCACTGAGTAGTATTAGCCAACAGCCACAGCCAGTTGCTGACATGCCAGACTGAAGCGGAGGGCACCACATTCTGGCACAGTCACTGCATTTCCTGATCTCCCTAGATGCCACATTTTCTGGCAAATACATAGTTAGAAATATTAGGCAAATCCTCACATTCCAGAGCTGAAAATATCCTCCCCCCACCCCAACAGTAAGGGATGGTGTTCCATCTCGCTTATGTTGTTTGCTTCTTTCTCTCAGGGAGGAGAACAGACCTGGACAGGAGCCCAGCTATGTGCCACACGCTTCTGTAATCCATTGCCTGCCATCATATATTTGCTCTGAGAATAAACTGCAGTCACAGTTTTACAAGGATTTTTACTTCCCAGTGAAACAAAGGTTGGTTACAGATCATCTGAAAATTATTTCAGCTGACAAATGAGTTAATGGTAATGAAAAATCTCCTAAGAGCCAACTTTAAAGCAAAAACTAGGAGGTCAACTTGAATCAAGTCCCATCAGCCTACTCCTTGTTCCCAAGTATCCTCTCATCAAAGCCACCCAAGGCTCTCTAGACAAAGGTTTCTTTTTCCTCCCGTCCCCTCCCTATTCTCTTCCCTCACCTCTCCTCTCATCTTTTTCTCTCTTCTTCTCTCTTTCTCCTTCTCCCTTGTTCTTTCTCTCTCTTTTCTCTCCTGTGTCCTTTTTGGATGTTCCAAGATCACTCCTAGTCTTACAGACCTTCCCCTGACCATGACCCAAGCACTCATCTAAAATTGGGGTGGTCTACATGTTTTGAGGTACATGTACTCTGCACCAACCAAGTGCCAGACCCTCTGCTATGTACTTTACATGCATAATCTGAATTATTCTGCCAACAAAACAATGAGATGGATATTATACCCATTTTAAAGACAGAAAACTGATGCTCAGAGAAAGGAAGGCACTTGAGTGTGGCTACAATCAGTAAATGAATAGACAGGATTCAATTTCAGGTCTGTCCTATATCAAGTCTGTTTGTTTTTCAGCACAAAATACTTTCTTTCTGTGTGAGGCTCTCAGCTCAAGGAAGATTTCCACTGAGACTCAAAGAATTCTGGAGTTGGAAGGAGCCCTAGAGGTCCTCCTGCTTAACCATGTCTTCAGTGTGGAACTTCTCACAGTCTGAAATATTTCAAATTGCATACATTTCTACCAAACTGAAGACAGTGTGGCATTCCTGTTGAAGCAGTAACGGTTCACTATGTTAACTAATTTGATAATGGCGCAACAGCTATCTGGTAATACATGGGCAATTAATATCTATGTTCCTTGAGAAGCTTCATGACACTGATTGTGGAGCCCAATCCTACCGTGAACAGTGGCAATTCAGATATTCATCCTTTGCCACCAATCTATTAATCTATTAATCAGTGGTAAAGAATGAAAAACTCTTTGTAATCTGTGCAAACCCAAAGAGAATTGCATCCTTGGCATATTTTCACCTTTTAGGATCTGGTTACCAATTAGAAAAATTACTTGGCATATCAACTCCTATACAGCAGTTAGTCTCTATAAAAATGGATTTTCTTTCCAGACAATTTAAAAGGACAAATGTAACTGAAAGAGAAAAATATGCATTCCTCCCACCATTAGGAATAGTGTTCTGCATAAAATTTGCAATAATTTCAGCTTTAGCCATTTATTAGGAAATATGATATTATTCCTGGAGCCAATACAAACAATCATTTGGAACAGAGATGCCAGGAAAAACATTGTACAGTTTATGGTTTGGCCCTCTTTCATTTGTCTTCTGGTGGTTATTGCTTTTTCAACACCAGTTCTGACAACAGGACCTTTCAAATGCATTCATTTAAAATAATTATCTGAAGCCCTGCTGCTAGGCAAGGTAGAACACACACTGTATAACAGAAATAGCAATGAGTTTTGAAGCTGGAAGGTTCAGATTAAAATCTTTCCTCTGTTTCTTTCTAGGTGGATAATGAAACATTTAACCTCTGTCTCTCTTGGTCCCCATTCATAAAATGGAAATTATAAAATAATCCATCATGAGGTTGTGCTGAAGATTAAAAAGTGATGGTGACTGTGAAAGTAAATGGTAAGGGGCAATGCTGAAAATAGTGATGATGACAACGAGGGGTTGATGAAGAAAGCAGCATCGCGGCCCCTGCTCTCTCAGAAATGACACTCACATTCCACCAAGGGGCACAAATCCCACCCATCCTGTACTTACTCTAGGTTGAGAAGTTTTGCTCCTCAAATAAACAAAAGATAACTTTCTAAAGTAGGATAAAGTTTGCTATATGAATACTAAATAGTAAAGAATTAAAACACAAAAGCTGGCCGGGCACGGTGGCTCACGCCTGTAATCTCAGCACTTTGGGAAGCTAAGGCGGGTGAATCACGAGGTCAGGAGTTCAAGACCAGCATGACCCACATGGTGAAACCCCTTCTCTACTCAAAATACAAAAATTAGCTGGGCGTGGTGGCACGCACCTGTAATTCCAGATACTCGGGTGGCTGAAGCAGGAGAATGGCTTGAACCCGGGAGGTGGAGGTTGTGGTGAGCCGAGATCGCACCACTGCACTCCAGCCTGGGTGACAGAGTGAGAATCCATCTCAAAAAAAAAAAAAAAAAAAAAAGCTAACATATTAATTAAATGTTCCTAACCCATACTATATGAAAAATTAGTAAAGAGTTGAAATACCAAAACTGAAATATTCATTTATGTTCCTATTTTAACTGCTTCTACTAAAATATATATTTTCCTTTCTTGCAGTTAATTATAATCATTTGAAATTTCCTCTTTACTATTCAGTATAATTTTTAAATATACCAGCCACATTAAAAGTTTTATAAAAGCTGTTCAAAAATAAAAACTGATCTTACATGTTGTTTGATGCAACCCCCTCCACTGTTGGTTTGAAAATTCCACCGTTAGAAGTTAATGTGTGGTACAATCTTTCTCTCCCAAAGGGAATAAAGGCAATACAATTATGCAGTCTCTTTTACACTGCGGTTCTTTTCTAGAAATTGGTTCTAAAGAAATATTTGTGAATGTTGCAAAGATTTCCCTATAAATCTGTTCAATGTGTGTTGTCAGTAATATGAGAAAACTGAAAATAACCTAAGGCTTGCATGTGAGTGATCAGATAACTATGGCATTTCTGGGACTAAGAGGGATCATTTTCTTTTTCTTTGTACCCTTCTATATTATCTACAATAAGCAGCTATTGATTTTTATCAGTTAAATACATACATTTTATTTTACTAAAATAAATTAGTGGTCATCCTGATTACAGTAATAAATTTATCAAATGCATTTTATTTCATTCCCTCCTGAGACCCCATTAAAATGACAGAAAAGGGGGTGTTTTGGCATAAACCTACAAAAACAAAGGAAAAACAAGGGAAGTGACAAGAGCCACAAACTTTTGGAAGCTGGAAAGCACCTGAGTCATTGGTAACAGACCTAACAGGATCAAGCCGAATCCTGAACCGACAGTGGGGAAAGCCAAACAGCAGACACCTATACAGCACAGAGACTCCCAAAGTCTCAGGAATTAAGTGCACCAGGCACCTCTGAAATAGGCAAAGGGGGCCCTAATGACAGAAAGACTGCCTGAAAGTCTGTTTAGGAAGTTGGGGCTCCTGAGCCTCTCCTTCCCCATTCTGCACAGTGCAGTTTCTCTTCTCCTTGATAACAGCAGAAGGCTGGAAGTGAAGTGTCTAGAGAGGGTAAAACTAGGTCTCTTGATTGGGAGATAGAGGCACAGGTAAAAGTAGGGCTAGCTTGAACAAACAGGGAATGAATGAAGTGACATCAGGAGCTCCCCAGCCTGCTTCTTCCACTTGGCTCACAGAACAGTGGCAGCCAGGAGCATAGAGAATTCTCCGTGGACTCTGAGCAGCCCAAAAGAACTACTGACGCTGGGATTTTTCCCAGTTAAATAGCCCAGCAACAGAACCATATAGTGTGGCATTGCCAGGGATTCCCATTAGATTTTTGTGTTCCAGTGCTAGATATGAGCAGACAGCCAAGGACACAGACAGCTGAGGGAAGCCTCTGACATGAAAGGTAGAAACCAGAGTGAACAAAGAGAAAAAAGCAGCTTGAAGGAAACCAAGGCATAAAGGTAAAGAAAGGTTTTTTTTTGGCTGGGTGCGGTGGCTCACGCCTGTCATCCTAGCAATTAGGGAGGCCGAGGCAGGTGGATCACTTGAGGTCAGGAGTTCGAGACCAGCCTGGCCAACATGACAAAACCCTGTCTCTACTAAAAATACAAAAATTAGCTGGTTGTGGTGGCGTAAGCCTGTAATTCCAGCTACGGAAGGCTGAGGGAGGAGAATCTCTTGAACCCGAGAGGCGGAGGTTGCAGTGAGCCAAGATTGCGCCATTGCACTGCAGCCTGGATGACAGAGTGAGACTCTGTCTCAAGATAAAATAATAATACTAATAAATAAAAAATAAAATAAATTTTTAAAAAAGAAAGGTTTTTAAAGAACTATTGTTAAACTATCATTACTAAACTATTATTTAGATTCCCTGAGAGATAGAAGAGAATGTTGCATCCGTTAAACAAGAAGGTGATATTTAAAACACACACAAAGAGACTATTTAGAGAACAAAAAGAGTCCTTAGAAATGGAAGGTACAGTAGAGGAAGCAGAAGATAAAGTTGAGGAAACTCTCAGAAAGTAGAAATAGAAACAGACATAGAAAATAGAAGAAAAAAACCTAAGAACATTAGAAAAAAAATAGTCCTGAAAATCCAACGTCTGAATAATAAAAGTTACAGAGAGAGAAAGTTAGAAAAATTAATTATCAAAGAAATAATTCAAAAAAAATTTCTGCAGGACTAAAGGGCATGACTTACTAGGCTGATGGGGTGACTAAAGCCCAGCCCAACAGGCCCATCTTATGACATATTCAGTGACATCTCAGACAATGGACACAAATGAAAATCCTGTAAGCTTCTAGGGCAGGAGGCAGTAAACCATGGCTAGTGGGCCACACCCCCACCACCTGTTTTTGTAAATAACATTGTATCAGAACAGCCAAGCTCATTTGTTTGTACCTTGCTGATGGCTTTTTTTCACACTACAACAGCCAAGTTGAGTTGAGTAGTGGTGAGAAAGTCTATGGCCCCCAAAGCTTGAAACACACATCTCACCCTTTACAGAAGTTTGTGCACTCTTGTTCTAGAAAGAAAAAACAGATCACACACAAAAAAAACAAAGTAAAACTTTCAGGTCTGCAATATCTAAAAAAGTTTCCTCTCATACACCCTTTCTCAGAAAGTTACTAAGGTTGTGTTCCATCAAAATAAGGGAGTGTCTCAAGAGAATGGAAGATTTAAAGTAAAGGAAAAAGATAATTCAACTCAAGAGGGAGGCAAACAAGTACAGAATGTTAGCCCTGAACCAGGCTGAGAAAGCAAGCTGCTCAGACTGGTGAGGAGAAAACGTCTAATGAATCTGGCCGTGAAGAGGATATTTCAGGCCGGGCACAATGGCCTGTAACAACCTATTACAACCACACTTTGGGAGGCCGAGGCAGTCTCGCTTGAGCCCAGGAGTTCAAGACAAGCCTGGGCAATACAGGGAGACCCCATCTCTACAAAAAGTACAAAATTAGCCAGGCATGGTGCTGCACACCTGTAGTCTCAGCTATCAGGAGGCTGAGGTGGGAGGATCACTTGGGCCACTGTACTCTAGCCTGGGTGACAGAGCAAGACCCTGTCTCAAAAAAATTAAAAAAAAAAAGATGATATTTTAAAAATTAGGGGAGTGTTTGGGTTTGAATAAGTATAAAGGACATAGAAAACAAAGCAAGTAGACAACACAAAAAATACAATTAATTCTAGAGAAGATAAAAAGTTATTTGAGAAAGGACAAGTAAACAAAATATACTATGTAATTTACTTAGTCATAGTAATATAAACACTGAATATTGATTTAACTGAAAGTATTATAAACTCTTGGGAAGATAGGAAAACAGAAAAAATAATGTGTGGGTTGAGTGTATATAATTTGGGATTTAGAAGAGGGGATTGCTAAAAGAGGAGTAAATCTTCATCTTCCATAGCGGGAAATCAGTGGATAGCACATAGACCTATAATATCATAAATCAGCAAAATTAGCATGCTTAATTAGAAATATAGAGGTAAATACCACAATAATCAGGTAAAAGTGTTAAAATTGGTTACCACTAGTGAATAGAAATGATGGGAAGAGGAAAGGAGGAGGCTATTTTTTCTAACAATTAATGTAGGACTCTTTAACTGCTTATACTATATCCACACATGACTTAGATTTCTAAAATATTTTTTAAATTTTAATTAAAAATTAAAACAATGCATATGGATATTCAATGAATATTAGATCAGTAAGCTACCTTAAATATCACCTTGCCTGACTTTATTACTTCATTCATAAGGAAACCATGACCAAGAGAGGTTTAGTGGAGGGACAGGTCTAGATAGAACCTAGGTGTGGTGTCTGAGTCTATTTGCAGTACATCCCCAAGCAGTCCTCAAGTTCACTCAGTGAGTTTTTTAAAGTTCATGGCATAGTTGCTAACAGATTAGTATAACTTAATAGAGTAGGCATCTATTGTTTTTACCTGTCCAGAGTCCCTTCCTTCCTTCTGCTGATAACTCAAGCCCATTTCAGTGTTGAGGTGGCACTAATCCTCCCTTCTCCCCACTAGCTAAATGTATCAGGGCTGCCAAACTAGAATATTACACACAACCCTTCCCCTAGTCAAGCCACAGGGATAAGCACATGACTAAGGCAGGATAAACTATTATTCTCCTCCATTTATTAAATAGAATTCTTGAGAGAAGATCTTTACTTGCCTTCTTTTTAGATTGTGAACTGACTGCTCTTGTTCTAACTCATTTAGTCCTCATAAAAACCCAATGAGGTTGGCATTATTTTACAGATCAGTTAACTGCCACACAAACAAGTTAAGTAACTTACCCTAGAATATGTAACTAGTGTATGATGGATTCAAACTCAGGCAGTCTGATTCCAGATTCTGTGTTTTTAACAACTTTGCCCCTACAGGGGTTATTTGCATTTTACTTCTCACACATTCATATCCCCTCTGGTGATAGTACCACTGCCAAGACTTTCATGTGGGGGACCCATACCCTCTACCCACTCTCAGTCCAAATGGTTAAGGTAGGGTTCTATCCTAGAACTGGAGGTAAACTGGTGACCCAGGCCTAACCCATCAAAATACAGTCTCACCCTTTGGTCAGTGATTGGTTCAGGGACCAACTCATGACCCAAGCTAGTTCAATCACAGCAACTCTCAGAAACTTTTCAGGGGCTACTGGCAAAGCTTCTTGCTCTCTTTTCACCCAGACTTGAACCTATGGTAATGTGAGATTGAGACTCTTGTAGCCATCTTGCCAGCACATGGGTTCTGATGTGAAAGCCACAGTACACAGGAAAACGAAGCAGAACTGACTCAACAAATGGAGAGGGATGAAGCCGTAATGATATGGAGAGAGATGAGGTCCTGATGACATTGACACTAGACTCTAAGCTCCGTGAGGGCACAGAATGCTACATGTTCGGTTGGCAAAAATTTGTATCACCAGTGTCTATAACAATGTTTAAGACATAGGAGGCACTTGATAAATATTATTGAACATATCATTTGATTCCCTGATACACATCATCCCTAGACTTTCCAATTACATAGACCAGTAAATTTCCTTTTATGGCTAAGACATTTGGAGTCAGGTTTCTCTCACTGGCAACCAGGGTCCTAACTGCGTTACCATGCTTTTAAATAAATCCACCCTTCTCAAAAATCTCCCCAAAATAGCTACTCCTTCCCTAGCAAAGCCTATGCTCATCAATTTGCACAATATTCCACCTCCCCTTTTAATGGGTGCAGTAAATTGACGTGCAGTTGTCTGCAACTTGAACTAGAAATCGCAGCTCTTTCCTTGCCCAGTTGCTACTTACAACTAATCCAACCACTTGGTCTCTTTATTTATTTTTTTGAACATGTTTTTTCCCATTTTTAAAATATTTTATTTATTTTGGATTCAGGGGATACACATGCATGTTTGTTACATGGGCGTATTGCATACTGCTGGGGATTGGGTTTCTGGGGCCCCCATGAGCCAAATAATAAACATTGTACCCATTAGGTAATTTTTCAACCCTCACCTCCCTTCCACCCTACCCCCTTTTGGAGTCCCCAGTGCCTTTTATCTCCTTCTTTATGTCCATGTGTCCCCATTGTTTAGCTCCCACTTATAAGTGAGAAGATGCAGTATTTGATTTTCTGTTTCTGAGTTATTTCACTTAGGATAATGACCTCCAGCTCCATCTATGTTACTGCAAAGGACATAATCTCATTCTTTCTTATGGCTGCATAGTATTCCGTGGTATATATGTACCATATTTTCTTTATCCAGTCAACAACTGATGGACACTTAAGTTGTTTCTATGACTGCTGGTATGAATAGTGCTGCGATGAATATATGTGTACAGGTTTCTTTTTTATATAATGATTTGTTTTCTTTTGGGCAGATATCCAGCAAAGGGATTGCTGGGTTCAATAGTAGTTTTATTTTTAGCTCTTTGAGAAATCTCCATGCTGTCTTCCATAGAGATTGAACTAACTTACTGATCTTAGGCAAAGTCGACAAAAATAAACAATGAGGAAGGACATCCTATTCGATAAATGGTGCTGGGAAAATTGGCTAGCCATATGCAGAGGAATAAAACTGGACCCCTATCTCTCACCATATACAAAAATTAACTCAAGATGCATCAGATACATAAATGTAAAACCTGAAACTATAAAAATCCTAGAATAGGGGTGTCCAATCTTTTTGGCTTCCCTGGGCCACATTGGAAGAAGAAGAATTGTCTTGGGCCACACATAAAATATACTAACACTAATGATAGCTGATGAGTTTTTAAAAATTGCAAAAAAAGTCTCATACTGTTTTAGGAAAGTTTATGAATTTGTGTTGGGCTGCATTCAAAGCTGTCCTGGGCCTCATGCAGCCCATGGGCCATGGGTTGAACAAGCTTGTCCTAGAAGAAAACCTAGGGTAAACTCTTCTGAACATTGGGTTAGGCAAAGAATTTATGATGAAGACCCCAAAAGCAAATGCAACCTAATTAAACTAAAGAGCTTCTGCATTTTCTCTCTTTATACCCTCATCCCTTATAGTTGTTGAATCAGCTTTCTCTGCAGATTGTTTTTCGTTTTTTTTTTTTTTTTTTTTTTTTTTAGATGAAGTCTCACTCTGTCACCCAAGCTGGAGTGCAGTGGCGTAATCTTGGCTCACTGCAACCTCCAGTTCCTGGGTTCAAGCAATTCTCCTGCTTCAGCCTCCTGAATAGGTGGGACTATAGGCATGCGCCACCACACCTGGATAATTTTTGTATTTTTAGTAGACATGGGGTTTCACTATGTTGGCCAGGTTGGTCTCGAACTCCTGACCTCGTGATCTACCCGCCTCAGCGCCCCAAAGTGCTGGGAGTACAGGCGTGAGCCACCGTGCCTGGGCTCTCTGCAGATTGCTAAAGAAAAAATTCCCATTAGAAAAGAGCAGACAGAAGTTGATTTTATTCTGATGCTATTGCCAGCTATCAGGGAGGAAGTACAGGGCAAGACTGTACCCCTTTCATAGAGACAAAGGGCTAAAGAGTTACTAAGAGCCGGGGTGAGCAGATTACAGATGACTCATGTATGCTAATTGCCTTCCCCAAAGGAAAAGTAAACTTTTTCATATCTTCCTGCAAGGAGGTAATTTTACAACTTGAAAAAAGAAGCCCACCAAAGTTAGACTCCAATCCTCTCACAGACACTGAGAGATGGGGCGCTGTCTTCCTTGACTGATGATTACATTTCAAGGGGATGGCTTGCTCCTTGGTGCTTGAAAAGACATTCCTGAGTTATAAAACTGGCAAGAGGCTTTTTTAAAAATTCACATCTCAAAGGGGCTGAGGAAAGATTTGCAATGATAAGTTTTCTAAAGTAAATGCTCTAAAAGAAGGGAGGTGTGGGGCCCAGAGTCAAAAAGAAGCCTGTCTAAAGTCTATTCAAGCTGAGGGGAAAGTAAGGGCCATTTTGGTCAAGATTTATCGGAAACTGGCAGCAAACTGATCTTTTATGATTCATAAGACATCTGTCAAAATGTTCTAGTTTCACTGGATTTCCTCCTAAGAGGAATAAAAACACTTACTTTAAGAAAACTTTCTGAAAAGAGTTAACATCATGTCCAGCAAAATAGCTTATGTTCCCCTGTCTAATACTCATTAGTCCTCTTAGAACACAGTGAAATCTGTCCTGGGTAGAGTACACAATCTCTCATCCTACATAGTCTTCCACAGAAACTACCCATGAGTTTAAAAACAGCCTGCTTTAACCTGTGCAATGGTTTGCAGTGGTTACCAACTGCTATGGTCTGAAAGTTTGTGTCTCCCCAGACTTCATATGTTGAAACCTAATCACCCATGAGATAGTATTCAGGGGTGAAGCCTTTGGGAGGTGATTAGGTAATGAGGGTGGAGCTCTTGTGAATGGAATTAGTGCCTTTATAAAAGAGGGTCACGTGAATGGAGTTAGTGCCTTTGCAATAGAGGCCACTCACCCCTTCCACCATGTGAGGACACAGCAAGAAAGCACCATCTATGAACGAGGACGCAGGCCCTCACCAGGCACTGAACCTGCTGGTGCCTTGGGGATTTCCCTGCCTCCAGAGCCATAAGAAATACATTTCTGTTGTTTATAAGCTACCTAGTTAATGGTATTTTGTTGTAGCAGCCTGAGCCATCTAAGATACCAATAAAGAAGAAAAGATGGTGTGATGGCAATCAAAGCCCTTTCACTGCAGCAATTTAGCAACTCTCCAAAGGGGGAGACTAATGAATGCAAAAGCCATATCAAAGAGGAAATAGAGTTAAGAAGTTGAAGGAGTTGGGCTCAGTTGGTGGCTGAGCCCACCTATAATCCCAGTACTTTGGGAGGCCAAGGCAGGCAGACCACTTGAGCCCAGGAGTTCAAGACTACCCTGGGCAACATGGTAAAATCTCATCTCTACCAAAAAAAAACCAAAAAACAAAAATTAGCTGGGCAGTGGTGGCGCATGGCTGGAGTGGAAGCTGAGGTGGGAGGATTGCTTGAGCCCAGGAGGTCGAGGCTACAGTGAGCCGCAATCAAGCCACTGCACTCCAGCCTGAACAATTGAGCGATATCCAGCCTCAAAGAAAACAAAAAAAAAGGAAAGTTGAAGAAGAATCTTCCAAAAGTTATGGGGAAGATACACAGCAGATGGGCACAGCACAGTGTGTGGGCCAGCACAGAAGAGAGATGGTGTTTCTCTCTGGATTCACCCAGAATTTCTACAGTAGCATTTTCCCAGGAAGCACAAATTCCTCAAGACATTCTGCAGCTGTTCTTTGGTCAAATCATTTTGATAAATTCTGAAGACTGTGAGTGAGCTCCCCACTCCCCTAACTTGGGGTACAGAATACATATGACTGTATCAAAGGCTCAGAGAGACCATGTGGCAGAGGCCAACTTAAATGAGTTTCCTCAGTGTTTTCAAATGGACTGGACTACAGAACCTTTTTTTTTTTTTTAGAAAACTTTTTTTTATTAATCATTTGTTAATCTGTCCAAACTACTGTTTGAGGCACTGTTCCATTCCCTGTCTCCCCTCATTGTTTCCTTCAAACAACCTCGACAGTCAGTAAGGGTTTGGCTCCTGCACTCACTGCCTGCTGCTGTCTGAGCTTCTGCCTCCTCCTGATTCCTGCATGACTGGCTCCTTCTTTGGTCCCCTTCATTCCAATGACCTCCCCCCTCCAATCTACATCAGCTATCCCATCTCATGGTCACATCTTACCCAGATCATCCCCCAGAACTACTTCTCCTCTGAAATCATAAATGTAGAAGCTCTGCCTCCATCAAAGCAGTAGATTAAAACACTGTTCTGGGATGATGATGATCCCATCTTAAATCCTTGCAACCTAGAGTTCTAGAAAATTAAAAGGAACCAAAATATTGTCAAAATGGAATATTGCTAAAAATACATTTATCTAGTCATAAACTGTTCTGTTTGCTCAATACTAATAAATTTTGGCATTTTTTTGATTGTCAAATCAGTAGTGCCATTATTTTTAGACCCATTGATCCCTTTCATTAGGTTTCCTATTGAAACATTTGTCTGGTGGTATCAATGTTACAGATCAGATTGCTGACACGACTGGAGCTGCCTATCCAAAGATACGCATTAGCTTACATTTTAAAAAGAAAAAACAATGTTCTGTCTAAAAGTATTTGATATGGTTTGGCTCTGTGTCCCTACCCAATCTCATCTCAGATTGTAATCCCCAGGTGTCAAGGAAGGGACCTGGTGGAAAGTGATTTGTTCATGGGGACAGTTTCCCCATGCCGTTCTCATGAGAGTGAGTGAGTTCTCATGAGAGCTGATGGTTTAAAAAGTGCTTGGCAATTCCCCCTTTGCTCTTTTTCCTGCTGCCTTGCGAAGAGGGTACTTGCTTCTCCTTCATCTTCCACCATGATTGTAAGTTTCCTGAGGCCTCCCCAGCCATGCTGAACTGTGAGTCAAATAAACCTCTTTCCTTCATAAATCACCCAGTCTCAGGTAGTATCTTTATAACAGTGTGAAAATGGACTAATACAGTTTTGTTTTTAGTGATGTTGAATTTTCTTAAAAGAAGATTAAGATATCCCGATTTGTTTTGAAGGAAGAAAAAAAGAAAGAAAAGAAGGAAAGAAAGAATAAAGAGAGGGAGGAAGGGAGGGGGGTGGGAAACAAGGAGGGAATGAAAGGAGAAAGGAAAATGGGTAGGTACAAAATGAAGGGAAAGAGTCACAACCACTCTTTTATCCTTCTACATCTCCTTTGTCTTTGTCCAAAAAAATCTTATTGGACTTCACCAAGATCCTCTCCTAGGCTATCAGGACCTCTTGAGTTTTCTTTTCTTCTTACCTGGCCCTAGGAACAATCAACTCGATGACCTCTATCAGCTTCCTTAATTCACTTACCTCTTTGCCTTATACCTTAATCCTACTCTACTGACCCCTAAACTTGGATGAATTCAATAATTTATTTTCTGTACCCTTACTACTGGGAAGTTGAGTTCCATTGGAGATACTCTCAGAACTTTACATATTGACAGTGTCACAAATTAAAGTTTGCATAAACAGAATGCCCCCCAAAATGTACCCACACCCTAATTCCCAGAATCTGTGAATATGTGACCTTACATGGAAAAAGGGACTTTGTAGATGTGATTAGGTTAACACTCTTAAATGAGGAGATTATCCTCATATTCAAGTGGGTCCAATGTAATCAAAAGGGTCAAGATCAGAAAAAAAAAAAAAGTCACAACAGAAGCAGAGGTTGGTGTGATGTAGTTTGAGGATGAAGGAAGGGGCCATGAGTCAAGTAAAACAGGCGTCCTCTAGAAGCTGGAAAAGGCAAGGAACAAATTATCTCCCTGGATCTCCAGAAAGAACAGAGCACTGCCAACACCTTGATTTTAGTCCTGTAAAAGTCATTTCAGACTTCCATCCTTCAGAACGGTAAGATAATACATTTGTGTTGTTGTGAGCACCAAGAATGTGGTAATTCATTACAGCAGCAATAGGAAACTAGACGGTTTCCAGGCTCAGAGGAGTCTTCAGATTGTGGTAGATCTACTTCAAAGATGGCTGCTATCAATCCTTCCCTCCCTGTATGTGCATGCTGCTCTTTCCTTCAACAAGTGGAACCTATTTTCCTTCCTCTTGACTCTGGGTTGGCCTCATCACTTGCTGTGACCAAAGGAATGATTTGGAAGTGGCACCATGCCAGTACTAGGCCCGAGGCAGCTTCTGCTTCCTCCCTGTTGGAATCCAGCCATCATGTAAGAAGTCTAACTATCCTGAGACCATTAGGCTCTGAGGGAGTCCAAGTTGTTCCAGGCATCCTCGTTGAGGCACCAGACACATAAGTGCAGGAACCACTTTGGACACCATTTGTAGAAGAACTGCTTAGGTGAATCTAGCCCAGATTGCAGAATCATGAATAATAAGTGGCTGGGTTTTAAGCCACAAAATTTTGGGTGATTTGTCCTGAAGCACTAGAGAACTGAAACAAAAGTACTTCCTACTTGGCACTATTCAACTTCTCCCATTTCTTTACTTATCTCTTTTTGCAGGTGATCTTTTATCCTACTTCAGAGAAACTAGTCCCTCCAGCATTTCTTTCCATTGGCTTCAACCTCAACTTCCCCTGTGATATAGATAGCTACATTGACCCTCTGGTCTTTCTTAGAATTACCCTTCTTAATCTAATCCCTTTTTGCTTCTTTTGAGATTTTGATCTTTCTGTATCCTCAGTCATTGTCATTCTTCCCTGGCTCCTTTCTTCAGCCAATAAACAGGTTCATTCCAATTCCTTTCCCTTTAGCTTCAAGTTATTGCCCTAATTCTTTCCTTGTGAAACTCATACTTCCTGGGAATAGTCTACATATGTCATGTCCACATTCAGTGCTCAGCCAGGTAGCAGACTAACCCAGCTGAAAACGACCTCATCACCATGGTTCCAAGGCAATAATGCATGTGGGAATGGAGGAGGGAGTACTGGGGAAGGAGATCCCTATTTAAATAGGGTCTAGTTGCCAAAACTAACAAGTGAAGATGGGTGATTGCCAAGAAGTTACCAAAGAGTCAAGGAGGGGACAAATCTGCAGGAGTAAATCTACAATGTAAGCAGGATCTACCATATAAGCAAAGTCCAAAGCGTGAGGCGGTGGGGGGCCACAGGGCAAGGGTGGGTTCAGTTCAGCCCAACCAGGAGAAGGTATAGAGTTAGATCATCTCTAACTCAGTGCATACAATTGCTGTTGCTCAGATGGACAAACAGGACCCTCTCCCACAGAAGAACCTGGCTGCCCCAGGCTTTCTATCTAGTGGTGAGGGCTCCATCCCTATACTTCATAAACAACATTCAGAAAATAGTTAATGCATGGATGCCTACAACAAATCAGCATTTCTGAATAAAATAATATTGAGGTAACATTACCAAATTCATTATGTCAAATGCTTTTTTCTTAAAATATATTCACTTTGGATCATACATAACAAAAAATTTGCAAACTAGGTTTTTCAAAATAATAAATGTTAATTAACATTTCTGCAGTGCCAGTAGATGAAATTAAAAGCATGGGCTTTGGAATAAGACTGTGTGTTATGCAGAAGTGTAACCCCCAGGCCTCTAAAACATGTCCTAAAGTTGGAAAGTGAAAGCATTACCTTATATGGCAAAGGGGAATTAAAGTTGCAGATGGAATGAAGATTAATAGTTAGCTGCCCTTCAAATAGGGAGATTATTCTAGATGATATATGTAGGCAATGTATTAATAGTAATCACAAGGGCCCTTAAAAGTAAGCAAAGGAGGTAAAGTGAAGGTCAGAGTAAAGCAGCATGAGAAGAACTCAATTCTCCTTTGTTGGCTCTACAGATGGAGGAAGGGGGCCATGAATGAAAGAATGTGGGCAGCTCTAGAAGTTGGAAAAGGCAAGAAAATGGATTTTCTCCTAGAGCCTCCAGAAGTGAATGCAGCCCTGATGAATCCTGATTTTAGTTCAATGAAACCTGTGTCAGACTTGTGTCCTGCAGAACACAGAAATATGAGATAAAAAATTTATGTTTTTTATGCCACTAAATTTGTAGCCATTTGTCGTAGCTGTAAAAACCAATACAGACTACATGGTTCCAATCTTGACCATCATTTACTACATATGGGACTTTGGGAAAGTTGGCTAACTTTTTTTTTCCTATGTATTAATCTGTACAATGAGACTAGTAACACCATCTACTTGAGGATTGAATGATGTAATGCACAGAATACTTAGAATAATGCCGGATACCTAGTAAGTGTTCAGCAAATATTAAATGTCATTATTTTTCATTGCTGTTCTTTACTTACATTATTTGATTTTATCTTCACATTTTACCTAAGAATATACTTCAAATATATGTTTTCCTCTTTCCATTTAAACAGCACAAGAAAAATATCTACTAAATGCTTAATAGCCTTAATGTCAAGGCTTGACTTGCCTGGAGTACCTTCTTAGAATGTTTTGTTTTTAGCCTTGAGCAGCGAACTCGTCTTGTTTCTAACTTGCTAGAACAAGCCATGCTAACACCATTTTTCAAAAGAAATTTCTTACTTCTTGACGACTTAATTATACTGCCACTGGTTGATGACTTTGCATCTGAAACCAAGACCTTGAAATAAACACAGTCATTTCAGTTCTTGATACAAGTGAATGAAAGAGCACTCTGTGATTAGCTTGTCGGCTTAAGAGTGCATGATAGCAATGGGATAAAATTAACTACACTTGCCAATGACCTGATATTCATTAGAGATTTTGGTAGTTCCTAAACTTTTATTCTTTAAGAAGTTTATTGTGTTTGATATATTCAGTATGTTTGCAGTACATCCAGTTATTTTATTTGGGAAATGTACTGGTGTTGCAATACTTAATTAACCTAAATAATTTACTTTTCCCAAAATGTGTCACAAAAGAGGATTTTTGTTAGATACATAAAACATGCATAAAGTCCCTTTATTTTATTATTATTATTATTATCTTATTATTTTTTGAGATGGAGTCTCACTCTGTCATCTGGCTGGAGTGCAGTGGTGCGATCTTGGCTTACTGCAACCTCCACCTCCCAGGTTCAAGTGATTCTCCTGCCTCAACCTCCCAAGTAGCTGGGACTACAGGTATGCGCCACCACGCCCAGCTAATTTTTGTATTTTTAGTAGAGATGGGGTTTCACCATGTTGGCCAGGATGGTCTCGATCTCTTGACCTTGTGATTCATCTGCCTTGGCCTCCCAAAGTGCTGGGATTACAGGTGTGAGCCACCATGCCTGGCCTAAAGTTCCTTTATTTTTAATAGGTTCTGGGATCCTCCCAGAGATCACAAATGTAAATAGCATCCATCTTCATGCCTGAAAAGTATGAAAAAGAGCTGGTCTTGCATTAGTCTAAACAGTTCCACTCTCCTAATGGTTATTAATAAGAAGAATTTCTTTTATAATAACTGACAGCAATATTCATAATTAAATACCAAAGAGCATTATTTGGAAAAGAGGCTTTAGTAATGTACCACATCTTTGCCTGTTTCAATGGCTGGTGAAACAGAATGGACTGAGCTTCCTTATTTGCCTTTCTTTCTCTCTTCTTTCTTTTCTTTTCTCTTTTCTTTCTTTTCCTTCCTTCCTTCCTTTCCTTTCCTTCCTTCCTTTCTCTCTTTCTTTCACTTTCTTTCTTCTTTCTTCTTTCTTTTTCTTTTTCTTTCTCTCTTCTCTTCTTTCTCTCTTCTCTTTTTTTTCTTTTTCCTTCCCTTCTTTCTCTTTCTTTCTTTTTCTTTCTTTCCCTTCCTTCCTTTCTTTCCCTTCCTTCCTTCCTCCTTCCTCCTCCCTCCCTCCCCCTTCCTTCCTTCCTTCTCCCTTCCCTTCCCTTACCTCCCCTCCCTTCCTTTCCCTTCCTTTCCTTTCTTTCTTTCTTTCTTTCTTTTCTTTCCTTCCTTTCTTTTTTCTTTCTTTCTTTCTTTCCTTTCTTTTTTCTTTCTCTTTCTTTTCCTTCTTTCTTCTCTCATTCTTTTCTTTCTCTCTCTTCTCTTTTCTTTCTTTCTCTCTTTTCTTTCTTTCTCTCTTTTCTCTTTCTTTCTTTCTCTCTCTCTCTCTCTTTCTTTCTTTCATTCTTTCTGCCTTGTCCCAGGATTTGTGAAATTCTATCAAAAGCTAAATTATATATTATTTAGAACTATATACACAAGTGATAGAATTGATTTTAAAACCCACACAATTCAGAATAGTGCCACCTTTGGAGGAAGTAGGGAGATAGGATGGGTGAAGAACACACAGGTGGCCCCGGTGGTATGGGTAGTGTCAGAGTTCTGGTTTGGGTGATATTTCCCCAGGTGATTGTTCTATTGTTATGCTTTATAATGTACTATGCTGGAAATTTTTTTTGGTATATCAAATATTTATTTTATAAAAGAACAACCAATCTCTGCTTTACTGAGCTTGTAGTCTTGTGTGGTCTCCAGAACTTCATTATTTCTTGTATCTTACACTGTAACCATTTTCTCCCACCCCCTCCGTTTTTACAAGTCTGTCACTTCTTTTTGGGAAAAATATCAAACTATATAGTCCTAAATTAAAAAAAGAAAGGAGTGATGAAAGAGCATTTTGAACTCACATGTGATTGCCTATCCTGGTTCAAAGAACCAGAGATCATCACTGTCTAATGAGAGAGGTGGGTGCACTTGCTTGTTTTCCTGTCTGTTTCCTTTTTCCTTGGGGCGGGGTCAGCCATCTGCACACCTCGTGTATAACATGGTGCTAAATAGTAGAAAGGCAAGATTCTAGATCCTCTTTTACCACTCACTCATTGTGTGACCTTATGCAAGTAACTAAATATTCAGGTTTTTAAAAAATTTATTTACCAGTGTCAGAATGCTCACATATATAACCTGCCCTCCCGAGTCTTTTTATAAGTATATACTTGCAAACATGAGAGCATTTTTAAAAGTTAAGTGCTACACTAACGATGTATACTGCTGTAAGCATTTTTGTTACAATCATGTGAATTTGAAAACAAACATTTCTGGAAAAATTTGTGCCTATAATACAAATAATAAGGTACAAGGGGATGGTATGGCAGAAAGAAGGTAGATTTATGTATTTGTGTTCAGATAAGCTTGGGTTCAAAGCTTGGTACTGCTTGTTATTAGCTAGGCCTTCTTTGTCAAGTATGTTTATTCATTGGAACCTCAGTTTCTTCACCTGCAAAATAGGATAATCATACTAGGCTCATAGGGTTGTGGAAAGATTAATTCAACTACTTTATTATGGTCCTAATAACTCTCTGCTAGTGGGAATGAAAACTGGTACAGTAACTATGGAGGGATATGTGGCAACATCTATCACATAAAAAGGATATATATTTTGAACAAGCAATACCACATCAAAAAATTTATCATGCATACAGTCTCACACAGGTAAGAAATAACATGTGCATGGTTTTTCATTAAAAGATTGTAATTACAGAGGCTTACAAATAACCTTAAATAAACAAAAATAGGAAACTGGTTCAAAAAATTCACATCCATACAACAAAAATCTGTAAAATAAAAGAATTATTTGCATACTTATATGGAATGATCTTCGAAATAAATTGTTCAAGGAAAAAGCAACCTATAAAATCAGAGTATGTAAGCAGGGTGTGGTGGTTCACACGTGTAATCCCAGCACTTTTGGAGGCCAAGGTGGGTGGATCCCTGAGGTCAGGAGTTTAAGATCAGCCTGACCAACATGGTGAAACCCCGTCTCTACTAAAAATACAAAAATTAGCTGGGTGTGGTGGCATGCACCTGTAATCCCAGCTACTCAGGAGGCTGAGGCAGGAGAATCACTTGAACACAGGAGGTAGAGGTTGCAGTAAGCTGAGATCGCACCACTGCACTCCAGCCTGGGCAACAGAGCAAGATTCCATCTCAAAAAAAAAAAAAAAATAGAGTATGTAATATATCACTATTTGTGCATTTTTTAAAGAAAAAAAATTAGGTTCAATATGAATGAAATATATCTGTAAGGACTCACAAGGATCATTTCACTTTGATGAACTCCAAAGAGGAAAACAAGGTGTGCTGAAGAAAAAAGATGGGAGGGAAACTCTCTGTGTACCATTCTGTGTCTTTCAAATTGTGAACTATCAAATGTATTGCCTATTTGACAAATAAATGCATAAATCACAGTATCTGGCATAAAATGTGTGTCAAAAATGCTTAGCTATCTTTCTTCACTCCCCCACCTAAATTATTTTTAAAACTAAAAAAGAATAAAAAGAAACGAACAAAGCCTCCAAGAAATATGGGACTATGTGAAAAGAACAAATCTACATCTGATTGGTGTACCTGAAAGTGATGGGGAGAATGGAACCAAATTGGAAAACACTCTGCAGGATATTATCCAGGAGAACTTCCCCAACCTAGCAAGGCAGGCCAACATTCAAATTCAGGAAATACAGAAAACACCACAAAGATACTCCTCGAGAAGAGCAACTCCAAGACACGTAATTGTCAGATTCACCAAAGTTGAAATGAAGGAAAAAATGTTAAGGGCAGCCAGAGAGAAAGGTCAGGTTACCCACAAAGGGAAGCCCATCAGACTAACAGCGGATCTCTCGGCAGAAACTCTACAAGCCAGAAGAGAGTGGGGGCCAATATTCAACATCCTTAAAGAAAAGAATTTGCAACCCAGAATTTCATAACCAGCCAAACTAAGCTTCATAAGTGAAGGAGAAATAAAATCCTTTACAGACAAGCAAATGCTAAGAGATTCTGTCACCACCAGGCCTGTCCTGCAGGAGCCCCTGAAGGAAGCACTAAACATGGAAAGGAACAACCGGTACCAGCCACTGCAAAAACATGCCAAATTGAAAAGACCATGGAGGCTAGGAAGAAACTGCATCAACTAATGAGCAAAATAACCAGCTAACATCATAATGACAGGATCAAATCCACACATAACAATATTAACCTTAAATGTAAATAGGCTAAATCCTCCAATTAAAAGACACAGACTGGCAAACTGGATAAAGAGTCAAGACCCATCAGTGTGCTGTATTCAGGAAACCCATCTCACGTGCAGAGACACACACAGGCTCAAAATAAAGGGATGGAGGAAGATCTACCAAGCAAATGGAAAACAAAAAAAGGCAGGGGTTGCAATCCCAGTCTCTGATAAAACAGACTTTAAACCAACAAAGATCAAAAGAGACAAAGAAGGCCATTACATAATGGTAAAGGGATCCATTCAACAAGAAGAGCTAACTATTCTAAATACATATGCACCCAGTACAGGAGCACCCAGATTCATAAAGCAAGTCCTTAGAGACCTAGAAAGAGACTTAGACTCCCACACAATAATAATGGGAGACTTTAACACGCCACTGTCAACATTAGACAGATGAACAAGACAGAAAGAGGATATCCAGGAATTGAACTGAGCTCTGCACCAAGCAGACCTAATAGACAACTACAGAACTCTCCACCCCAAATCAACAGAATATACATTCTTTTCAGCACCACACCACACCTATTCTAAAATTGACCACATAGTTGGAAGTAAAGCACTCCTCAGCAAATGTAAAAGAACAGAAATTATAACAAACTGTCTCTCAGACCACAGTGCAATCAAACTAGAACTCAGGATTAAGAAACTCACTCAAAACCACTCAACTACATGGAAACTGAACAAACTGCTCCTGAATGACTACTGGGTACATAACGAAATGAAGGCAGAAATAAAGATGTTCTTTGAAACCAACAAGAACAAAGACACAACATACCACAATCTCTGGGACACATTTAAAGCAGTGTGTAGAGGGAAATTTATAGCACTAAATACCCACAAGAGAGAGCAGGAAAGATCTAAAATTGATACCCTAACATCACAATTAAAGAACTAGAGAAGCAAAAGCAAACAAATTCAAAAGCTAGCAGAAGGCAAGAAATAACTAAGATCAGAGCAGAACGGAAGGAAATAGAGACACAAAAAACCCTTCAAAAAAATTAATGAATCCAGGAGCTGGTTTTTTGAAAAGATCAACAAAATTGATAGACCGCTAGCAAGATTAATAAAGAAGAAAAGAGAGAAGAATCAAATAGATGCAATAAAAAATGATAAAGGGCATATCACCACCGACCCCACAGAAATACAAACTACCATCAGAGAATACTATAAACACCTCTACACAAATAAACTAGAAAATCTAGAAGAAAGGGATAAATTCCTCGACACATACACCCTCCCAAGACTAAACCAGGAAGAAGTTGAATTCCTGAATAGACCAATAACAGGCTCTGAAATTGAGGCAATAATTAATAGCTTACCAACCAAAAAGAGTCCAGGACCAGAGGGATTCACAGCTGAATTCTACCAGAGGTACAAGGAGGAGCTGGTACAATTCCTTCTGAAAATATTCCAATCAATAGAAAAAGAGGGAATCCTCCCTAACTCATTTTATGAGGCTGGCATCATCCTGATACCAAAGCCTGGCAGAGACACAACAAAAAAAAGAGAATTTTAGACCAATATCCCTGATGAAAATCAATGTAAAAATCCTCAATAAAATACTGGCAAACCAAATCCAGCAGCACATCAAAAAGCTTATCCACCATGATCAAGTGGGCTGCATCCCTGGGATGCAAGGCTGGTTCAACATATGCAAATCAATAAATGTAATCCAGCATATAAACAGAACCAACAACAAAAACCACATGATTATCTCAATAGATGCAGAAAAGGCCTTTGACAAAATTCAACAACCCTTCATGCTAAAAACTCTCAATAAATTAGGTATGGATGGGATGTATCTCAAAATAATAAGAGCTATCTATGACAAACCCACAGCCAATATCATACTGAATGGGCAAAAACTGGAAGCATTCCCTTTGAAAACTGGCACAAGACAGGGATGCCCTCTCTCACCACTCCTATTGAACATAGTGTTGGAAATTGTAGCCAGGGCAATCAGGCAAGAAAAATAAATAAAGCGTATTCAAATAGCAAGAGAGGAAGTCAAATTGTATCTGTTTGCAGATGACATGATTGTATATCTAGAAAATCCCATCATCTCAGCCCAAAATCTCCTTAAGGTGATAAACAACCTCAGCAAAGTCTCAGGATAAAAAATCAATGTGCAAGTCACAAGCATTCTTATACACGAATAACAGACAAACAGAGAGCCAAATCATGAGTGAACTCCCATTCACAATTGCTTCAAAGAGAATAAAATACCTAGGAATCCCACTTACAAGGGATGTGAAGGACCTCTTCAAGGAGAACTACAAACCACTGCTCAATGAAATAAAAGAGGATACAAACAAATGGAAGAACACTCCATGCTCATGGGTAGGAAGAATCAATATCGTGAAAATGGCCATACTGCCCAAGGTAATTTATAGATTCAATGCCATCCCCATCAAGCTACCAGTGACTTTCTTCACAGAATTGGAAAAAACTATTTTAAAGTTCATATGGAACCAAAAAAGAGCCCACATTGCCAAGTCAATCCTAAGCCAAAAGAACAAAGCTGGAGGCATCACGCTACCTGACTTCAAACTATACTACAAGGCTACAGTAACCAAAATGGCATGGTACTGGTACCAAAACAGAGATATAGACCAATGGAACAGAACAGAGCCCTCAGAAATAATGCCACGTATCTACAACTATCTGATCTTTGACAAACCTGACAAAAACAAGAAATGGGGAAAAAATTCCCTATTTAATAAATGGTGCCAGGAAAACTGGCTAGCCATATGTAGAAAGCTGAAACTGGATCCTTTCCTTACACCTTATACAAAAATTAATTCAAGATGGATTAAAGACTTAAATGTTAGACCTAAAACCATAAAAATCCCAGAAGAAAACCTAGGCAATACCATTCAGGACATAGGCATGGGCAAGGACTTCATGTCTAAAACACCAAAAGCAATGGCAACAAAAACCAAAATTGACAAATGGGATCTGATTAAACTAAAGAGCTTCTGCACAGCAAAATAAACTACCATCAGAGTGAACAGTCAACCTACAGAATGGGAGAAAATTTTTGCAATCTACTCATCTGACAAAGGGCTAATAGCCAGAATCTACAAAGAACTCAAACAAATTTACAAGAAGAAAAAAACTCCATCAACAAGTGGGCAAAGGATATGAACAGACACTTCTCAAAAGAAGACATTTACGCAGCCAAAAGACACATGAAAAAATGCTCATCATTACTGGCCATCAGAGAAATGCAAATCAAAACCACAATGAGATACCATCTCACACCAGTTAGAATGGCGGTCATTAAAAAGTCAGGAAACAACAGGTGCTGGAGAGGATGTGGAGAAATAAGAACACTTTTACACTGTTGGTGGGCTCCTGGACTGCACTGCTTCAGGCAGTTGGATGTCCTTGTCTTGCATTATTATTTACTTTTTCATTGACCCTTGTCATATACATCTCTGTATCCTTATGTATGTTTTCATGATTAAACATTTATTGAGCAAGAGCATGATAGATGTGATAAATGAAGTCAAAAGAAAAAAAGCTGTGATATTTCAACCTTGATCTATTTTTTTAAAGATGCAACACTCATAAAGATGAAAGGTACTATGGAGGTGAGTAATCTGAAAACCGAAATAGGTAAATACCATGCGGATCAAAACTATTCCAATATATTAAGACTCTGAACAAATTCTAAAATGCTCCAAGAAACAGAGAAGTCAAAGATAGCTGATAGTAGGTTAAGAAAGATTGCATTCTTCATATAGAAAAATTGGAATAAAATTAGAAATATAATAAAGTAATTCTGTTCATCTTCCCAAATGTGTGGATTATTCAATTTGTAGTTTTGTTGGCCTCATCCTTTTTCTGGAGCATTTCCTTGCTCATTGGCAGCTCAATCAGGGAATTTATCTTTGGTTCTCAAAGGTGGCTCTAAAGGTCAGGTGGAGAGAGGAGGCTAAAGTCAAGCAATGACATGGCTCAGGATCTGCAGGAAGAGATTTCACCTTGTTCCCTTTCAGGAGGTACAGACTTGGCTCCGGCTTATTATCTCATTACTAATGTCCTTTAGTTCACTTTGTCTTTGAAATGGGCCATTTTTTTAGAACCAGAATCTGCTGAAAGATACAGTATTTTATTTCATCCCAACTGATGCCATCGGAAAATATGGATTTTTTTAAAATTGGCAGATTTACTGTTCATTTTATTTCATGTAGGGAACTGAATACTTAAAATGATTGGGAAAATTACTAAACGGTCAAAAAATCTGTACATTTAGTTTTCTTCTTATTTATTTAGTTAGTTTTTTTTAATATACTTTAAATTTTAGGGTATATATGCACAACGTGCAGGTTGTTACATATGTACACATGTGCCATGTTGGTGTGCTGCACCCATTAACTCGTCATTTAACATTAGGTATATCTCCTAATGCTATCCCTCCCCACTCCCCCCATCCCACAACAGTCCCTGGTGTGTGATGTTCCCCTTCCTGTGTCCATGTATTCTTATTGTTCAATTCCCACCTAAGAGTGAGAACATGCGGTGTTTGGTTTTTTGTCCTTGCGATAGTTTGCTGAGAATGATGGTTTCCAGCTTCATCCATGTCCCTACAAAGGACATGAACTCATCCTTTTTTATGGCTGCATAGTATTCCATGGTGTATATGTGCCACATTTTCTTAATCCAGTCTATCATTGTTGGACATTAGGGTTGGTTCCAAGTCTTTGCTATTGAGAATAGTGCCGCAATAAACATACATGTGCATGTGTCTTTATAGCAGCATGATTTATAATCCTTTGGGTATATACCCAGTAATGGGATGGCTAGGTCAAATGGTATTTCTAGTTCTAGATCCCTGAGGAATCGCCACACTGACTTCCACAATGGTTGAACTAGCTTACAATGAAGAGAAAAATAGATGCTGTGGGTCAACAGGAGGAAGAAGTACTCTGATCATGGGGACCTGAAAAGGTTTCATGAAGGAAGAGGTATTATTGGGCATTAAAATATTTGGATAACAGAATAAAGAGGTGAGGACACCTCAGGTACAAGAGTCAGTATGAGTAAAGGCAGCCAGAGCTGTCAGCTTGGGGCAATATTTCCCAAAGTGTGGACCATGTAATATGATTTCAGTTAATACAAGGACAATCATTTTAGATTTTAACAGTCGAAAACCACACAGGTGAGGAGAGGCTAGACTTATCTCAAACAGGGAGGAATAAGGAATCCCGTTCCCCAGCTCCTGCCTTCTGCAGTGATCTCTAGCTCAGACAGCACGCAGGGCTGTCAGCACCCAAGTAAGTTCAGAGACCAAGGACATTCTGATGGAGTGCAGCAACAAAACCATCTCACGATTAGAACAACCACCATACTGCATTTCTCTTATTACTGGAGGTCCCTCGCAGCTCCTACCCAACTGCCTCGGAAAGAGGCCAACTGAGGGCTCTCAACCCATGCAGAAGACATGGGGGTATGAAGATGTAGACAGGCCCAGCTGTATGCCAAGGGACTCAGGGTAGTAAATTTATTTAAATTTGAATGGTGAGTCATCTTAGAACAAAACCCTGTAACTCATAATTTATAACCACAAGAGGTTCACAAATATGGCAAAAATCATGAAGGTTGTGTTAGTTGCTTAGGGCCACCATAACAAAATGCCACAAACCAAGTGGCTTGGACAACAGAAATTTGTTGGCTCATAGTTCTGGAAGCTGGGAAGCCTGAAATCAAGGTGCCAGCAGGGTGATTCCTTCTGAGGCCTGTGAGGGAGAATCTGTTCCAGGTCTCCTAGTTTCTGGTAGCCTCAGACATGCCTGGCTTGTAAATAATGTTCTGTCTATGTCTTCATGTCATATTCCTCTTTGTGTGTCTGTGTCCAAATTCCCCCTTTTTATTAAGACACCAGTCATAATGGATCACAGCCCACCCTAATGACCTCATTTTAATTGTATTACTCTTGCAAGAACTCTATTTCCACATAAGGTCACATTTCTGAAATACTGGGGGACTTCAACATATCTTTTGTAGGGGTGGTGCAGTTAAACTGATAACAAAGGAATGACTTGAATGACTGAAGTTTGGGTAACCCTGGCTTAATGGAAGCTGTCCATCCTGGCTTTGGTTCATTTAAGTACAGATGTGTCATCTTACAGCTGTGCTATCTTAGGCAGATTATTTTACCTTTCAGAATTAAGTTTTCTCATTTATGGAATAAAGGAATTGAAGTTAGATCAGTAGTTACCAGGTTTTTTTGGATTTTGTAGACTACTAAACTTTCAAAGAACAAAAGAAGATATATAACAGAAGGCTTGAAACTTAATTTTGCCAAATGTGGGAGGGATTGGCTAAGTTGTCACTAATCCTGCTTCCTCTTCCTCCTGCGCGGACAGCTAAACTGTAATTCCCAGCCTTATTTGCTGTTAGGTTTGGCCACGTGGTGAGTTCTAGCAAAGGAATAGGAATAGCAGTAATTGTATATCACATTTCCAGGCTTGACCAATAAAAATTTCCCTCTAGCAATCTTCCTTCTCTTCCTACATTGCCAGCTGGACAGATGAGACCTTGGGGAATATGGGTAAGGGCAGACCCACAATATGGAAGCCAACTCAGGTCCCTGAGTGAACTGGGGGATAGTCCCTATATTCAGATTTTACTTGAGGAAGACATTAATTTATTGGGTTAATCTATTAATATCTGGTGTTACAGCAGCTGTCATCACATACTTATATTCCAAATATGGACATTAAAAAAAATACCATCTACTATCACAAATGAAGGACTATTTAACATTAAAAGATGTACAAAGTCTACAGTCTTAGAAACAGGAGCAGTTCTTCAACTTGAAAAGCTAACTTCTTTGAAAACTCTTGGCCTTAATCTGATTTTTCTCTTTTCACCATGAATGAGCGATAACTTTATAATAGACAGTCATTGGCCCACGAACTAACAATGAACCTCTAGGATGGACGACTCTCCATCCAATCAGAGGGCAAGTCACAAGCTGAATCCACCTGCTCAGAACAGTTGTCAGGTAGGAGCCTCTCTCCATCTGAGGGCTATGCCATCACCCTCTGTGTGGCTTTATTTCCAGCAAGCTCAATCCTTATGGTGGGCTTCCTTTCTCCAAGTTAACATGGTCATAGCTGAAAATCCAGGGGAGGAAAAGCCTTCTTCCTTTGGCTCCTGTAAAAGTCCCAGGATCAGTTCTGATTGGATCAACTTGTATCAAGTGCCTAGCCCCAACCAAACCTTGCAGCCAGGAGGGCAGGATGTGCCATGTGGCCAGGTTGGGGTCACAGTCACAGCTGGGTCCCCAAGGAAAATATGAGAGTTCTGTTACCCAAAGAAAGGAGAATGAGCTCCATGAGGCCAAAGTAGTGGGGAACATCATAGTAGCCTAGGGTAATGCCATAGGTTAGGTGCCATAATGTGGTAGAAGGCTAAATAAGGATTCTGCCCAGCCTTGCAGTGGGATTTTAAAAGTGTGAGAGAGGAATTGGTTTGCAGTGAAGCACTTTGACAATCAAAAGGAAAATGAATAATAATCAAACAAGCAACATATTGCAAATAAAATGTATTCTCATCCATACCAAGATAGATGCAGATGCCAAATTCTGGGGGTTAGGCAGGCTTATTAATTTAAAATGTGAGCTTTGTTTTTTATTAGGAGCATGAGAAAAAATGATATAAATTTGGGATAATTAAAAACTCAGTTTCTCCATATATCATAATATTTTCATATGCAATTAGTATCATTCCATCTGTGAGAAAAGACTTACAATAAAGACATCTAGTACTTAGTATTATCAAGGCCACATAATTTTTTCCCGCCTGAAATTAGTGCCCTTCCTCCCTAACTGGTGGTTTTAGGTAATTAAATATGCTTTTACTTTACCCAGCTTAGTACAAAGTTTTAGGCTTTCAATCCAAGTCCTATAGAACATATTATCTCTCCAAATCCTTTGAAAGTCTTGTGCCATCATTTTTGTCTCTTTTTTTCTAATTATACCAGAATGATACATTTATTTTCCTGTTTCTAACAATCTAGCTAAAGTCTCATAAAATGTAACCCAGCATACATCTTCTAGAAATAATTAGACAATGAAGAATTTTCAAACCTAGTTTAGATAAAAACCACAGTATTACTCTTTGTTTCATCATGTTTGTCAGTCTATTTTTCTTTTTCCTCTCTGCTATTATTAATTCAGTCAAAAGTCCTTCAATATGAATTCTCAACATAGTAATAGGTTAAGTTTGTTTCTGATCTTTCTGCTCATACTTTTCTCTCCCAGGCAAACGTGAAGGCCAGTCAATACCTTGATTGCTTCAAGACTATCTGCGCTCTGAATCTCCATGTAAGAGTGTACTATCATTTTTTTTTCCTTCAAAAAGAGGGAAAAAATGCATAGTCCCATACATCTGCTTGCTATTTCTAATGTATTACATGTGTATCAACTTCTGTTTTGGGAATAAGGTATTCATAATTATTAAGAGGAAGATCAGTTATAAAGACAAAATTTAGATTTTGTTTTTACTAGAGAAATTTGGCATTCAAAATTATTGTCAAATGTCAAGGGATAGTTAATCATGAATTCTTTTAACAAATACTTATTGATTCTCTGAAAGTGCCAGGCATTGTGATCTAGGAGCTGGGGACACATCACTAAAGCAAACATGCTAGATCCTTCCCTCATGGAGATTATATTCCAGAGGAGGAGGTAGGAAATAAACACATAGACGACCAAAAAAAATGCCACGTTGTGAGAAATGCTGCTAAAGGAATAAACTTGGTGCAAAGTGGCAGAGAACTGCTAAGGAAGTGCCCTCTGAGGATGTAATGTCTAAGCTGAGGCCAAGAGGATAAGAAAAAGACAATCACACTATGGAGCTGGGTTGGGAAAGCCCTCCAGGCAGAGGGAACACATGTGCAAAGGTCCCAAGGCTGGAAAGGGTTCACCAATTCAGGGGGAAAGGAGGCCAGGTGGCTAGATCATTCTTTTCACTCATCTCAGTGGTCATAGTTAAACTCAATTTAGAGACAGTATTGCTTATATCTAATGCGTCATTTTTAGTTTGTTGGTAGTAATTTCTCTTTAATAATGTCTTGTTTTTCATATGCATTAGGTAGTTTTTAGTTCTCTGAATGAGTCTCTTTAACACTTTGAGAACACTAAAGATGCACTTCAATAGTCAACATAAGTCAGAAAGAGTTAATACACCTCCCCAAATGCCCAGTTTACTGCCAAGAAATTTCTTATACCCTGAGAGAATCTGGCTGGATATTCAGAGCCATCTGGTATTTAAAGCAAAACCCACTGTGCTGAACTGGGCAGTATCTTAAAAACATAATAACAATGAATCTCTCAGTTTTAACATAACAACCAATCTCAGCCTACGTCCAGTGAACCAAGCTGTGCTGTTTGCTTTTTAGTGCCCTGATTTCAGTAACATTTCAAACTATCTAACAAGATGTCATGTAGAAAAGTCTTATGGAGCAGGGCTTGATTGTCTCTTTTGAGCATAGCAGCATCCTAGTGTCTGTTCCATCTGTTTCTTGCAAGCACTGGGCCAATCAGGAATCAGTCAGTCTGAAAAGGACACAATGCTGACTGCAGACCCAGCTCTGCTCCAGTTCTGTGGCAAACGGGAGAAGAGGCTTCCTTGGGGAGGAATAGGGTAAACATTGGGAGAATGGACTTTGACTTCAGGGAGACTTTAAGCACAAATTCCAGGGTTCCACTCGTGGTCATTAAGACCCCGGTCCTTAGGTAATTTACATAACTGCTTCAAGCTTCACTTTTAGCAACTGTAGAAGAACTGCTTATTTGATTTGTTGTGAGAATTAAGTGAGAGAATGCACTTAAAGTGTGTGGCACATCATAGGTGTTCAACAACTGCAGATACCGCTTTCTTTATTCTAATTCATAAGCTTCATTCCTCAGGTGAGTAGAGGAAGACCTACCTGCTAAGCATCTTCTCATCCCCAAACAGATATGGCGGGTATCGAGGGTCTATAAAGTCAGCTACCTACCAAGGCCATCTTGTACCAGTTCAATCACTACATCCCACCCTGGCACCATTGTCTGAGACTATGACCTGGTCAGGAGGACCTGTTGGCCTAAGGGCCCCCACTGGTGAGGAAAAGATGTAGACATTTTAGACACTTTAAATAACGGTTCCAACATGACCTTTGTACTGCACTATGCCTTCTCTCCTAAGGTCTCCTGGATTTTCAGATGGCAGAGAAAATAGCTGGTAGCAATTTCCTGTCTCCAATCAATTTGAAGATAGCTCTGTTAAACCCCTGTCTCCTGAGTATCTAGTGATCTCAAGGTTTGAGAGAAATAAAAATAGCTGCTTGTCTCACACAATAAAAAAGTCTAGAATGTCCTACCTTACGCATAGCAGAAAATACCTGAAATTTATTAATGATTTAAGTTTTACTCACCACTTGTTGGCGTTATTTGTTATTCATAACTTAGTAACAGCCAACTAGATTTATAAATTGACTTTGTTTCATCAAATCAAAATAGACTTTATTTTAAATGCCAGATTTTCTTCGAAGAAAGAATACAGGATTTGAGATATTACTTTAAAGTGAGAATATAGAGAAAAATAACTCCCAGGTGTTTGAAGATTCCTCTACTTGGTGCTTCTACCTTCCTGGATCCCTGATGATGGTTGACAGAAGCCCCATCATCCCAGCAATGGCCCCATTGGTCCCTACCTCCAGATCCAACTTCCCTCTGCCTCCAGATGAGAACACCAACAGGAAGCCTCCAGTCAGCTGGCTCTCTTCCAGCTGCTTATTGTCTCTTATTGGCCTGTGCCATAAGGCTTCAGCCCCAGTTTAGGGATGGATTGTCAGAAAGAGCTCCCCAGGAGGGCGTGGTCTTTGTGCCTGATATGGTTTGGCTGTGTCCCCACCAAAATCTCATCTTGAATTCCCATGTGTTGTGGGAGGGACCTGGTGGGAGGTAACTGAATCATGAGAGCAAGCCAATCATGAGAGCAAGCCTTTCCTGTGCTGTTGTCCCGATAGTGAATAAGTCTCACAAGATCTGACAGTTTTAAAAATGGGAGTCTTTCTGCACAAGCTCTCCCTTTGCCTGCTGCCATCCATGTAAGATGTGACTTGCTCCTTCTTGCCTTCCACCATGATTGTGAGGCTTCCCCAGCCACATGGAATTGTAAGTCCAATTAAACCTCTTTCTTTTGTAGATTGCTCAGTCTCAGGTATGTCTTTACCAGCAGCATGAAAATAGACTAAAAAGGTGCCACTGGACTCATTTGAGTTTATGGCCACAGCAGAGAGGACACTCCCACAACTGTCAGAGCTTCTGCCTCCCTCTGGCCTCACCTCCTGCCACTCAACTCCTCACTCTTTCCCCTCAACCTTCTTGGCTGTCTTTCAACTTTTCTCATACAACCAATTCTTCCTTGTCTCAGTCTGAGCAAATTCTATTCTTTCTAATTGTAATGCTTTTCCACAGGACTAGCTACATACTTTGCAGGTCTCAGTGCAAAATTGAAATGTGGATGTTCTTTTTCATTATTAAGAATTTCAAGATGGTGCCAGTTGAGCTTTACAGCAAGCATGAAACTCTGCTAAGCACAGGACCCTGTGCAATGCCTGGGTTTTACACCTGGGAGACCTACACCCACTTTCATTTCTGCTCTTCACATAGCTGCCCATCAACACTGAGATCATCATTTCCAGCTATTCTCCTCCAGCTAACTTTTAAATTTGTCTTTAAAGCACTTATCACAGTTTTAAACATTAATTTATTTATTTGCTTACTTTTCTGGTCTATCTCCCCCATCCAAGCCCTTTTTAGACTCTAAGCTCTATAAGGGCAGAGACTGTGTCTACTTTGGCCATAGATGCCCAGAGTCTAGAACTATGCCTGGCATATGTAGACATTCAATAAATATATATGTTGCATGAATGGATTAATTTATGTTCCTCTGTCTTCAGCTTGAAGTTATTTTTAACATTGAAGTCTTTAGTGCTTTCAGAAAATAGCTCTAGGCTTGTCAGAAAGAAAGCAGGGCCCAACAAGAGTAATCTGCGCTTGAGTGGAGTCAGTGTAATAGTTTTCTCTCATAGCTGAGAAATTGCCTCTTGTTTCCTCAGATACAGCTTGCTTTCTAGAATCATTTAATTGCTTTTGTGATTTTCAATCTACCCAAACCTTCCTATTTTTGTATAAAGGAGACATCCCAGTGGCTCAATGAGGTATATTTAGAAAAGAAGATGGGTTTTATGACTTCCTCCTAGATGTTTCTGAGAGAGGAGTAAATGAAGAGTTATCTGACACCAACTAGTATACTGTGGACTGCAGCAGAATTCTGATCTTAGCCACTCAGATTTAGTGCAGACCACACAAGTTAAAAAGCAGCATCTCCAACAAGACTGCCACTACTTCAGACACCAGCTGCAAGTGGGGGTCCCCTGGCCACCCACATGTTTGACCAACTGGCTACATAATTGAGTTGTCTGGGGAGAGCAGGGCAGGCCTCTAAAGCAGGTTTGAAATGGCTTGGTGAAGCCAGGAAAGGAGATTGGCCTGGGTGGGGAGACGAGGAGGGTTTGCCTGTTTGGGAAGGGGCCTGCAAGATTTGGCTCTCCCATCTGTGACAAGGAAGGGAACACCAGGCTTTCTTATCAGTTTGCCCAGATGTGAGGTCCAAGGGGATGAGGGAAGGGTGAGGCTTAAAAGCTTTCAGCAGTCAAACGTCAAAAAATGAAGTTGGATTCCTCATCACACATATTAAAGCAGACGAATGTATCTTTAATCTATCATGAGTCCCCATGTAACCATCACAAAGCTTCAAATGTTTTAATATAATTTTTCGTTTCTTCTAAACTCCTTACCACTTCCCCACTCACATCAGATTACTTTGAGGTAGCTCCTAAGTATTCGAGTATTTCATTTGTAAATATTTCACTATATATCTAAAATATAAACTTTACTTTTAATAAGTAACAATAATTATTTAATATTATCAAATATTCATTTTGTGCTCATATTTTTACAATTGGCTTATAAATTTTTTTTAAGTTTTTTTTTGTTAAAACTAGGATTCAACCAAGGAACATAGTTAGTTAATATTATTCTTATGCCTCTAATAATCTACAGGTTTCTACTATAGCTAATATTTTTTCCTTATGATTTTATTACTGAAGATACCAAGTTGTTTGTCTTATGGAGTTTCCATCTTTCTAACTTCTGCTGTTTGCATCCTCAAGGTGTCTTTGAACAGCTTGTTCCCCTGTCTCTTTTATTTCCTATAAGTTGATAGTAATATTTAGAGGTTTGATCACATTGAAGTTTGATAGCTAGCTAGCTAGCTAAATAATAGATTGATAGGATGATGGATGAATGGATGGATGGATAGATGGATGGACAGATAGGTGGGTAGCTAGATAATAGGATGGATTAATAGATAGAGATAAATATACAGATGATGGATAGATAAAGATATTTTTCTTTCTTTGTTGGCAAGACTACTTGATTGGTGGTGCTGTATACATCCATTAGGAGGCACATGATTTCTGTTTGCATTTTTTAAATGTCACGTCAGGAGCTGTTGATGGTCAGTTCACAGATCCGTTAATTCACTAAGGGTTGTAAAATGGTGATCTCCTGATTCTAACATTCCTTCCTCATTAGATAAAACATTTTCTAAGGAAGAACTACTCTTTATCTAGTACTTGCTTACCCTCAGTTATAGTTCTTACAGGAAAATTAAGGTAGATGCTTGATTCTTTCCATGTATTTATTATATTTAAAATGAGTTGGTATTCTTGTATCCTCCAAAGGCAATCTCTGAGTTTGTTGAAGGCTTTTTTTAAGTCATGCTTTGAACTCCTTATGCCAAAATTCTCTTCAGTGGCAGACTTCTTCACCAATTGCCTTTGCATTTTTAGCCTTAATTTTTTCTTTTCTGGAAAGACTCATTTGCTTGATTATCCAGTAACTCATTTCCGTAAGCTGAACTGAGACAGATACTGGCTACAAGGAGCCTATGTGATTTCTTAAAGAAACTGTATTCCTTGCAGAAAACATAATGTTTAACAAAGTTTAAGCATGGATGTTTAAAAAAAGACATCTAAATGTCTTTCCTAATAAGATGCAACATTCTTTTTCTCTATTCAGGGATTTTCTTCCCAGAATAGCTTATTCCATGGAGAAATAAATGTTTTAAGTTTGGATCAGTTCTCAACTACAGAGATCTATGAGCCTCACCACCCACCCCGCAACCCCACCTCACACCCATAACTTAAAATGGTCAGAATTATATACCCTTGGTTACATTTCTAATTTAGAAAACTTTCCATTTGTAATTTCTCAGGATTATTACATAATCAGCTAATTATGTCTACTTCAAACTTTTAAGCAACTTGGGGCTACCAGGAGGTCCGGTCTGGCTCTCTGTGGTGACCCTGGAAATTGCTCAGCCCAAACAAGCAGATTCTGCTACCAGTGCTTTTGGCTCCATTGCCGGCATGTTTGCTGTTAGTTGACAACATTTTTATCTGACTTCTGCTAAAATTAACCTCACTTGGAATACAGTCTTTCTGTTTCATCAGTGTAATTACTGGCCCTAGAATGCCTTCCCAAAGCTGTTGTTTATAATGATTCATGCAGCAGAAAATACACAACGTGGTTCTTGAGAGCCAAGCAATGACAATTCAATCCTGGGATAGAAAATGAAAAAAGAATCAGTATAAAAAAGCAAGGATACATAAGATTTATTCCTCTTTAAGTGAATCTTTTTTTTTTTTTTTTTTTTTTTGGTGGAGGAAACACAGACACACACACAAAGCCTGCACTTTTAAACATCTCTCATTCTAAAAATCAATGAACAACATCTATTTGATAACTCATCTTGGCCAGGTTAATTATAGACTGGGTAAACTATATGCAAGGACAAAATAAGGGACAGCTTCTGGTATCATTTCAAGAGTAATAAGAAGGGCCTATGTTTCTCCAAATATTTTCTCTGTCCTGGTATATAACTGTAATGTCACCATTCGTGCTTCATTCCTTCAGCTGAAGGATTGGGTCTGGTTAAATTTCTAGGACAGCTATTTTCCTCGGTGTGAATGGTGGACAAGTTCTTGCCAGCATCAAGTTTAGCTTGAGGAAGCTGTTCTCAACCCTGCTCATTAAAATCACCTAGGAAGCTTTTGCAAAACCCAGCCAAGAGGGCTCTACTGTAGACCAATTGAATTACAATCTCTCAGGTGGGCCTGGGTACCATTAACTTTTAAAGTTAAAGTGTCCCATGTAGCTTCTAATGCGGGGCTAAGGTTATGAGGGCTTAGAGATGAGCAGATAGGGGCCAGGCATAGTGTGAGGGCACAGTGTGTGCACACTGACAAACTCCACCAGTTTGTCAGGAAAGAAGGAAGAACAGCAAGCCAGGCCTGACAAGGCTGTACATAAACCAGAGAGACCTGTTTCTTACTCGAAACATCCCCTTCACACTGCTCTCTAGGTCTATCTAATAGGCAGGTCCTCCTCTTGTTCACAGGGAGGGGAGCTGTGACCCTGACCTTGCCAACTGGAGTGTTGCATCTCTCTAAAATAGTGATTGGTTTGGGGTGGACCCAGACTAGGCCAATCAGAACCAATAGCCATCAGTTCCAGGGCTTTTATTGGAAGAGTTAAGAAAGAATTCTTTTCCCACTAAGTTGTTCAAATGGAAGCACGAGCTGCTAGTGGCCATCAGACCATACTGAGGGAAGAAGTTGCCTGAGAACAAAGCCAACATGAGGAAGCAGAGCTGGGATTGAGACAGCCAATCCCAGCGATACTGGATCTTGCCTAACATATTGCCTAGACCTTACAGTTGTGTGAGTTAAACTCTTTTGCTTGAGTCATTTAGAATTAAATTATTGATAAATTGTAACAAAAATTCTGAATAATAGACAAGTGGAGAAGCAAAAATGAGTCAAGGAAATTGTCTGGATTTCAGGGTCAGATCTTGTTACAACCTCTACCCTGGAGGTAGACTTGGTTGGTTAGACAGGGGTAAAAGTTACTGTAAGATACAGAAAAGAATTCAAAATTTTCTTAGTGTTTCCAAGTTAATATGTTAGATTCTCTATTTTAATTGTAAATAAATATCATAAAGAAGAGTTATAGTTATGCATTTAGGTATGCTCCTAATTTTAAAAAATCCACAGTCCTTCTTTTCTTACTGAGTTAATCTGAGCTACATTAGTCATACCATTAGTTAATAATCACCAACACTTAACCTTCTATGGTAAATCAACCTCTCATGAAAAACATAGTTTACAAATGTAAGTAAAAACATAGTTTTCTGCAACAAATACTCTAATAAATTGGGTTTCTATACATATCATAGTCTAGTCTAGTCTGGAACTTACAAGTCAACATTCCTTGAAATTACTCAAATCAGCATCTCAATATTTTAAGAAAGCTGAATGTCCTCCATAGTAAACAGAGACAATATTCAATTTTATGATGACAAGACACAGAATAAGTTTATCTTCAACTATCATTTTATAGTAACCATTATGATAATATTTGTCACCTTATCTTATTTATCTAAGATGTAATGGCCCATTCAAGACTTATCCTCACAAATCTCAAGCGTCAACAGACTCCCATTCTTTCCTGGTTCTTTATGAACAATTGCTATTTGGAACTGATAATCTGTGAACTTTAGTTATACTCTTTAACTAAAGTTGATTTAAATAAAATCAGGCTTATAATTTCCTGATTTTACAGGTTTATTCTCAAAATGCCCCAATCTTGTGTTTTCTCTGTGAAGCAGATAGTGTGGGATATGGTGTTAGGGGCAAGACCTGTGCTAAAGAGTGAAGGAATGACCTTAGGACCAAGCTATGAGTCACCAAAATCCCAAGTACAAGGCTAAACCATAACATGTGGGTGTCCCAGGTCAAACTAATCATCTAGTGCCCTAAGTGATACTCCTTAAGTTTGTTCAATATTTAGTGATGTGTGAACTACCAGCAAGCAGTTTTTGTTCATTGGTTGCTTGGTTTCATGTTGTAATTGTTGTTAATTTCCACTTGAGGGTAATGATTTCTTCAGCAGGTATGGGACCAATTAATGTTTCAGGAATTATGTAAGAGGTTGCATATGGAAACCCAAAGTAACTGGTGCCATAATTCTGACTTATCCCAAGTATATCTTTTTTTTTCATTCTTTCCTTTTATTGTTGCTGAGAATATCATATTCTTACTTTTAAACAACTCTGACAAACATAGTATTTTCTTTTTATTTATTTTTATTATACTTTTAAGTTCTAGGGTACGTGTGCACAACGTGTAGGTTTGTTACATGCGTATACATGTGCCATGTTGGTGTGCCGCACCCATTAACTGGTCATTTACGTTAGGTATCTCCTAATGCTATCCCTCTCCCCTTCCCCCACCCCACAACAGTCCCCGGTGTGTGATGTTCCCCATCCTGTGTCAGTGTTCTCATTGTTCAATTCCCACCTATGAGTGAGAACATGTGGTGTTTGGTTTTTGTCCTTGCAATAGTTTGCTGAGAATGATGGTTTCCAGCTTCATCCATGTCCCTACAAAGGACATGAACTCATCCTTTTTTATGGCTGCATACTATTCCATGGTGTATATGTGCCACATTTTCTTAATCCAGTCTATCATTGATGGACATTTGGGTTGGTTCCAAGTCTTTGCTATTGTGAATAGTGCCTCAATAAACATACGTGTGCATATGTCTTTATAGCATCATGATGTGCAATCCTTTGGGTATATACCCAGTAATGGGATGGCTGGGTTAAATGGTATTTCTAGTTCTAGATCCTTGAGGAATCGCCATAGTGTCTTCCACAATGGTTGAACTAGTTTACAGTCCCACCAACAGTGTAAAAGTGTTCTTATTTCTCCACATCCTCCTGTTGTTTCCTGACTTTTTAATGATTGCCATTCTAACTGGTTTGAGATGGTATCTCATTGTGGTTTTGATTTGCATTTGTCTGATGGCCAGTGATGATGAGCATTTTTTCATGTGTCTGTTGGCTGCATAAATGTCTTTTTTCAAAAAGTGTCTGTTCATATCCTTCGCCTACTTTTTGATGGGGTTGTTTGATTTTTTCTTGTAAATTTGTTTAAGTTCTTTGTAGATTCTGGATATTAGCCCTTTGTCAGATGGGTAGATTGTAAAAATTTTCTCCCATTCTGTAGGTTGCCTTGTTCACTCTGAGGGTAGTTTCTTTTGCTGTGCAGAAGCTCTTTAATTTAATTAGATCCCATTTGTCAATTTCGGCTTTTCTTGCCATTGCTTTTGGTGTTTTACTCATGAAGTCCTTGCCCATGCCTATGTCCTGAATGGTATTGCCTAGGATTTCTTCTAGGGTTTTTATGGTTTCTATCCCAAGTATATCTTAACATGGCTTATAAACTAGTGACTCCACTGACATGTTTTCTTATCCCGCCTTTGACCTGTCATCCTTTTGGAGCAAGCCATTGCATAGATTTAATCTCAGTACAAGGGTAGCTATTGTCCCTGGGCCATAACTAAGTCAAAGGGTTATTTTCTCTGAGACTTCACTTTCTGCGGTAGGTGCATTCTGCCACTATCCCAAAGGGAGACGAAGAGCTCTGTCCCCAGACCACCTTCATTCCCTGTCATTCTAATGTATGTCTTTTACTCCATCCTACAGGCTCAGTGAGACCACAGCAGGTCCTCAGCCCATCTCTCACCCTGAATATTTCCTAGGAAGGAGTCAGACACCAGTTCAGTGTGTCCTCCTAACTTAAGGGGACACATGTCATATTCTCCAACAGATCCCATCAAAGCCCCTCTCTCTTGACTCGGCCTGCAAGGGAAGTACCCACACACATATAAACCTTTCCTCCTTGAGGACTAGGTGTCCGATGAAATCCTTTTCACAAATTCTCCCTGATCTCCAACAACTGACCTTCTTTATCCTTGAGGTAATAGAGAGGTGTCTGAATCATATAACTACTTTTGGGGTATTTGCTTGGAAATTCCTATAGGATGCTCTCACAGCTCATATTTTGATGTGATACTTATCACCCAAGGATTCAGCCAAAACTTCCATTTTAACTTTCGGTTCCCAGCAAGAACTAATAGCTAGCTCATAGCAGCACCAAAACCCCATAAAGTCTGCAAGATAAAAAAGATCCTTTACCAACTACGTTTAAGACAACAACCCTCCATAATATCACATCTGGAGAACAATCACTTCATGACCACCTTGTACACTATGTTTTAGTCTCTGAAGCTACATACCTTTTGGGGAGAGAGCTTGATGAACACCATTGCTTTGACTCATTCTAAACACAAGCCACCTTGGCTGCCTGACATATCCCTCTCTTTAATCTACCTGGTAAATAGTGTCAGATTCATTCCCCATGTGTACTGCAGATTAAAAAGGCACCCAAGTTCAGCTCAGCAGCATTTCAAAAGTCAAAACTGCTATAAATAAATACAAGACATCTTTCCATTCTGAAGTTTGGTAATTCAAGACTATGCATCTTTGTGTTTGGGGCCCTCTAAATAACAGGGCAGATAAATCCATAGTTTGACATTAGATGAGGCATGGAGTCTTCTAAATATTTACAGAAGCAGTAGGTTCTTTAATTATTTTGGAATAGCAATTATAAAAATAATGCATGCTCACTAATTAAGTACCAATGCTGACCTGGATAAAGAACAGCATCTAAATAAATACTTGAATTCTACCATCTAAAATATCCATGATTAAAAGGAGATAAATGTCATTTTAGACACGGTTCTATCCATACAAACGAATATATAATAGATAGCTAGTTTAAATAGCTAGATAGATAAATGGAGAGAAATACCTCCTTCTTTTAAAAGCAAGAATACAATTGAAAATACCATCAAATACATCCAAGCTTCTTTCTAAGCATTAATTACATTATACTGCATTTCATTCATTTAAAATATCAGGGCTCTGTTTTGTCTCTAAGAAAAGAAGCAAAAAAGGGAATCCCCTTCGGAGATGTCTGGGGAAAAGTTAGATTAGAAAGCCAAGGCAGATTCCTGCAATTTCCACAAAAGCACTGGCAGATACTGGAGCAGAGAGAGACTGTGAGAGGCTGAGAGCTGAGAGTGCCTGGGGACCAGAGGAAGTTTATGGTTATGCTTCATTTGAACAGGAAGATAGTTACAAGGGTATTTGATCTCTCACACTTTGCTCGCTCTTGAGTTGTGGTCTTGTTTATTGATCATTTTACTTATATTAAAGATAAAATTGTGTCTGTGAATGAATATCCATGGCCCTATTTTCAATAGCAAATGCTTCCTACATACTCTATTAGGTTCTGGAGATACAGAGACCATCCCTGCACTTAAGATATTTGCAGTTCATCATTGAGCAATGGCAGTAAGATGTGGTAAGTACTACAATAAAATGATTTACAAAGAGCTCTCAGAACAAAATAAAGAAAAAGAAGTTGCTTAGTCTTAGGCACTCCAGGAAAAGGGAGTGGTGTGTGCAACAATCTAGGAGGTGACAATACCTGATTTATTTCTGGAATGGGAACTAGTTCCATAGGCAGAGGAGGCTGCCTTGTCAGCACCCCTGTGTGAGTTTGCTGACTCTGATGCACACACCTCTAGGCTGCCACGGATTTTGTAAGTCAAGTAAAAAGAAAGAGGAAATGGCATGAGGGCTTACCCAGGTGCCAATCAAGTAACTGTGACATCTTGAAACCATCCTGGTGTTTAGGTTAAACATGCACCTTTGAGAAAGCCATCTCACTTTCTTGTTTAATTAATTAGTCAAAGAAATTATGTGACAGTTACGTGCAGTAGACTGGAGTCAACTGCAACAACTTTCTCTTCCCTATTCCACCCTCAGACCCCAGCCTCTCATTAATTCCTTCCTTTGTTCCTACTTAGTGCATTCAGAGGAATAATGTTTTCAAATACATTTATTTTAAAATAAAAAGATCCTTGAAGGTATCCTCGAGTAACTCTCAGAACACTTTTCCAAGAATTCTAGGAAGGGAGGGAGGGAGGGAGGAAGGGAGGAAAGGAGGAAGGACAGAAGGAAGAGAGAAAGGGAGGAAGGAAGGAAGGGAGGGGAAGGGAAGGGAAGGGGAGGGGAGGGGAGGGCAGGGAAGGGGAGGGGAGGGGAGAGGAGAGAGAGAGAGAGAGAGAGAGAGAGAGAGAGAGAGAGAGAGAGAGAGATCCAAAACACTTACAGATTTTAGAAATGTCCTTCCCTAAGCAGGATATTCTCTTTAGGTAGGTTCTTCCAGACCATCAACATCACCTGGTAACTTGTAAAAATGCTGTTTCTCCAGCCCCACCCCAGACCCATGGAACCAGAAACTCTTGGGTTGGAACCCAGCCATCTGCATTCTAACAAGCTTCCAGGTGATTATGATAAACACATATGTTTGAGAACTATTATCCTAGAGTAATAAATATGGGCCCAGGACAGCCTACATGGCCACAAATACTTCTCACAAAAAAACTTCCATTTATGTTACAAAAATGTTTATTCATTTAAATTTATTCCTTGGGACCAAAGCACAAGACTCTTCCAGTAGCCATATCTTACTAGGGGGAGTTACAGCCACAGACTCACAGACCTAGAGGGGCACCTCAAGGGTTGTCTCCTCCAAACCTCTTTTTTTCCATTTTTTATTTCCATAGGTTATTGGGGAACAAGTGGTGTTTGGTTACATAAGTAAGTTATTTAGTGGTGATTTGTGAGATTATGGTGCATCCATCACCTAAGCAGTATACACTGCACACAATTTGTAGTCTTTTATCCCCCACTCCCTTCCCACCTTTTACCCCTGAGTCCCCAAAGTCCATTGTGTCATTCTTATGCCTTTGCATCCTCATAGCTTAGCTCCCACTTATGAATGAGAACATATAATGTTTGGTTTTCTATTCCTAAGTTACTTTACTGAGAATAATAGTCTCCAGTATCATCCAGTTCACTACAAATGTTGTTAATTCATTCCTTTTTAGGCTGAGTAGTATTCTAGAATATATATATGTATACATATATATGTATGTATGTGTATGTATATGTGTATATATGTGTGTGTATGTGTGTGTGTTGTGTGTGTGTGTACATATATGTGTGTGTGTATATATAGTGTGTGTGTGTGTGTATATATATATATATATACACAAATGGTAGTTCTGTTTTTAGTTCTTTAAGGAATCTCCACACTGTTTTCCATAGTGGTCGTGCTAGTTTACATTCCCACCAGCAGTGTAGAAGTGGGCCCTGTTCACCTCATCCACACCAACATCTGTAATTTTTTATTTTTTTTATTATTTTTTTATTATGGCCATTCTTGCAGGAGTAAGGTGGTATCGCATTGTGGTTTTGATTTGCATTTCCTTGATCATTAGCAATGTTGAGCACTTTTTCATATGTATGTTGTCCATTTGTATATCCTCTTTTGAGAATTGTCTATTCATGTCCTTAGCCCACTTTTTGATGAGATTGCTTTTTCTTGCTAATTTGTTTGAGCTTGTTGTAGGTGCTGGATATTAGTCCTTTATAAGATGTATAGATTGTGAAGGTTTTCTCCCACTCTGTGATTTGTCTGTTTACTCTGTGACTGTTCCTTTTGCCGTGCAAAAGCTCCTTAGTTTAATTAAGTCCCAGCTATTTACCTTTGTTTTTACTGCATTTGCTTTTCAGCTCTTGGTCATGAAATCCTTGCCTAAGCCAATGTCTACAAGGGTTTTTCCAATGCTATCTTCTAGAATTTTTATAGTTTCAGGTCTTAGAATTAAGTCCTTGATCCATCTTGAGTTGATTTTTATATAAGGTGAGAGATGAGGATCCAGTTTCATTCTCCTGTATGTGGCTTGCCAGTAATCCCAGCATCTTTTGTTGAAAAAGGTGTCTTTTCCCCACTTTATGTTTTTGTTTGCTTTGTCAAAGATCACTAGTTATAAGTATTTGGGTTTATTTCTGGGCTATGCATACTGTTCCATTGCTCTATGTGCCTATTTTTATACCAGTACCATACTGTTTTGGTGACTATGGCCTTATAGTATAGTTTGAAATCAGGTAATCTGATGCCTCCAGATTTGTTCTTTTTGCTTAGTCTTGCTTTGGCTATGTGGGCTCTTTTGTGGTTCCATATGAATTTTAGGTTTGTTTTTTTCTAGTTCTGTGAAGAATTTTGGTGGTATTTTAATGGGAATTGTGTTGAATTTGTAGATTGCTTTTGGCAGTAAGGTCGTTTTCACAATATTGATTCTATCCATTGATGAGCATAGGATGTGTTTCCATTTGTTTGTGTCATCTATGATTTCTTTCAGCAATGTTTTGTTGTTTTCCTTGTAGAGGTCTTTCACCTCCTTGGTTAGGTGTATTCCCAAGTATTTTAATTTTTTTGCAGCTATTGAAAAGTAGTTGAGTTCTTGATTTGATTCTCAGCTTGGTTGCTGTTGGTGTATAGAAGAGCTACACTGATTTGTGTACATTTTTCTATCCGGAAACTTTGTTGAATTCTCTTCTCAGTTCTAGGAGCTTTCTGGAGTCTTTAGGGTTTTCTACATAAACAATCATATCATCAGCAAACAGCAACAGTTTGACTTTCTCTTTACCGATTTGGATGCCCTTTATTTCTTTCTCTTTTCTGATTGCTCTGGCTAGGACTTCCAGTACTAAGTTGAAGAGAAGTAGTGAGAATGGGCATCCTTGTCTTGTTCCAGTTTTCAGAGAGAATGCTTTCAACTTTTCCCCATTCAGTATATTGGCTGTGGGTTTGTCATAGATGGCTTTTATTACATTAAGGTATGTCCCCTGCATGCCGATTTTGCTGAGAGTTTTAATCATAAAGGGATGTTGGATTTTGTCAAATGTTTTTTCTGCATCTATTGAGATGACCATGAGATTTTTGTTTTTAATTCTGTTTATGTGGTGTATCACATTTATTGACTTGCATATGTTAAACCATCCCTGCATCCCTGCTATGAAACCCACTTGATCATGGTGGGTTATCTTTTTGATATGTTGTTGGATTTGGTTAGCTAGTATTTTGTTAAGGATTTTTGCATCTATGTTCATCAGGTATATTGGTCTGTAGTTTTCTTTTTTGATTATGTTCTTTCCTGGTTTTAGTATTTGGGTGATACTGGCTTCATAGAAGATTTAGGGAGGATTCCCTCCTTCTCTATCTTGTGGAATGGTGTCAATAGGATTGGTACCAATTCTTCTTTCAATGTCTTGTAGAATTCTGCTGTGAATCCATCTGGCCCTGGACTTTTTTTGTTGAAAATTTTTTAATTGCCATTTCAATCTCATTGCTTGTTATTGGTCTATCCAGGGTAATTAATTCTTCCTGATTTAAGCTAGGAGGATTGTATTTTTCCGGAAATTTATGCCCCTCCTCTAGGTTTTCTAGTTTATGTACGTAAAGGTGTTCATAGTAGCCTTGAATAATCTTTTGTATTTCTGTGGTGTCAGTTGTAATATCTCCCATTTCATTTCTAATTGAACTTATTTGGATTTTCTCTCTTCTTTTCTTGGTTAGGCTTGCTAATGGTCTATCAATTTTATTTATCTTTTCAAAGAACCAGCTTTTTGTTTCATTTATCTTTTGTATTTTTTGTTTGTTTGTTTGTTTGTTTCAGTTTAATTTAGTTCTGCTCTGATCTTGATTATTTCCTTTCTTCTTCTGGTTTTGGGTTTGGTTTGTTCTTGTTTCTCTAGTTCCTTGAGGTGTGACCTTAGATTGTCTGTTTGTGCTCTTTCAGATTTTTTGATGTAGGCATTTAGGGCTATGGACTTTCCTCTCAGCACCACCTTTGCTGTAGCCCAGAGGTTTTGATAGGTTGTGTCACTATTATCATTCAGTTTGAAGACTTTTTTAATTTCAATCTTGATTTCATTTTTGACCCAATGCTCATTCAGGAGCAGGTAAATTTCCATGTATTTGCATGGTTTTGAAGGTTCCTTTTGGAGTTGATTTCCAGTTTTATTCCACTGTGGTCTAAGAGAGTGCATGATATAATTTCAATTTTCTTAAATTTATTGAGGCTCGTTTTGTGGCCTATCATATGGTCTATGTTGGAGAAAGTTTCATGTGCTGATGAATGAAATGCATATTCTGCGGTTATTAGGTAGAGTGTTCTGTAAATATCTGTTAAGTCCGTTTGTTCCAGGGTATAGTTTAAATCCATTGTTACTTTATTGACTGTCTTGATGACTTGTCTAGTGCTGTCAGTGGAGCACTGAAGTCCTTCACTATTATTGTGTTGCTGTCTATCTCTTAGGTCTATTAGTAATTGCTTTATAAATTTGGGAGCTACAGTGTTAGGTGCATATATATTTAGGATTGTGATATTTTCCTATTGAGCAAGGCATTTTATCATTATATAATGTCCCTCTGTCTTTTTTAACTGCCATTGCTTTAAAGTTTGTTCTGTCTCATGTAAGAATAGCTATTCCTGCTCGCTTTTGGTGTCCATTTGTATGGAATGTCTTTTTCCACCCCTCTACCTTAAGTTTATGTGAGTCCTTATGTGTTAGGTGAGTCTCTTGAAGGCAGCACATGGTTCATTGGTGAATTCTTATCCATTCTGCAGTTCTGTATCTTTTAAGTGGAGCATTTGGGCCATTTACATTCAATATTAGTATTGAGATGTGAGGTATTATTCCATGTTTGTTGCCTGTATACCTTGTTTTTTATTTTGTTTTGTTTCGTTTGAATTGTATTTTATTTTATAGGTCCTGTGAAATTTATGCTTTAAAGAGATTCTGTATTGATATGTTTCCAGGATTTGTTTCAAGATTTAAAGCTCCTTTTAGTAGTTCTTGTAGTGGAGGCTTGGTAGTGGCGAATTCTCTCAGCATTTGTTTGTCTGAAAATGACTGTATCTTTCCTTCATTTATGAAGCTTAGTTTTGCTGAATACAAAATTCTTGGCTGATAATTGTTTTGTTTAAGGGCTGAAGATAGGACCCCAAGCCCTTCTAGCTCATAGGGTTTCTGCTGAGAAATCTGCTGTTAATCTGATAGGTTTTCCTTTATAGGCTACCTGGTGCTTTTGCCTCACAGCTCTTAAGATTCTTTCCTTCGTCTTAACTTTAGATAACCTGATGACAACGTGCCTAGGCGATGATCTTTTTGCAGTGAATTTTCCAGGTGTTCTTTGAGCTTCTTGTATTTGGATGTCTAGGTCTCTAGCAAGGCTGGGGAAGTTTTCCTCGATTATTCCCCCAAATATATTTTCTAAACTTTTAGATTTCTCTTCTTCCTCAGCAATGCCAATTATTCTTAGGTTTGGTCGTTTAACATAATCCCAGACTTCTTGGAGGCTTTGTTCATATTTTCTTATTCCTTTTTCTTTATCTTTATTGGATTGAGTTAATTCGAAAACCTTGTCTTCAAGCTCTGAAATTCTTTATTCTGATTGCTCAGTTCCATTGCTGAGACTTTCTAGAGCATTTTGCATTTCTATAAATGTGTTCATTGTTTCCTGAAGTTTTTATTGTTTTTTATTTATGCTATTTCATTGAAAATTTCTCCCCTCATTTCTTGTATCAATTTTTGACTTCCTTAAATTGGGCTTCACCTTTCTCTGTTGCCTCTCTGATTAGCTTATTAACTAACCTGAATTCTTTTTCAGATAAATCAGGGATTTCTTCTTGATTTGGATCCATTGCTGGTGAGCTAGTGTGATTTTGCGGGGGTGTTAAAGAACTTTGTTTATTACCAGAGTTGGTTTTCTGGTTCCTTCTCATTTGGGTAGGCTTTGTCAGAGGGAAGGTCTAGGGCTGAAGGCTGTTGTTCAGATTCTTTTGTCCCACAGGGTGTTCCCTTGATGTAGTACTCTCCCTCTTTTCCTAGGGATGTGGCTTCCTGAGAGCCAAGCTGTAGTAATTGTTATCTGTCTTCTGGTTCTAGCCACCCAGCAAGTCTACCAAGCTCTGGGCTAGTGGGGGTTGTCTGCACAGAGTCCTGTGATGTGAACTGTCTGTGGGTCTCTCAGCTGGGGATACCAGCACCTGCTCTGGTGGAAGTGGCAGGGGAGTGAAATGGATTCTGTGCTTTGGTTGTTTAATGCATTATTTTTGTGCTGGTTGGCCTCCTGCCAGGAGGCAGCGCTTTCAAGAGAGCATCAGCTGTGGTAGTATGGGGCAGTGGGCAGGGCCCTAGAACTCCCACGAGTATATGCCCCTTTTCTTCAGCTACCAGGGTGGGTAGGGAAGGACCATCAGGTGGGGGCAGGGTTAGTCATGTCTGAGCTCAGACTCTCCTTGGGCAGGTCTTGCTGCAGCTGCTCCTGGGGATAGGGGTGTGATTCCTAGGTCAATGGAGCTGTGTTCCTAGGAGGATTATGACTGCCTCTACTGTGTCATGCGGGTTGTCAGGGAAGTGAAGGAAAGCCAGCAGTCACAGCCCTCACCCAGCTCCCACGGAACACAAAGGGCCGGTCTCACTCCCACCATGCCCCACCTAACAGTAGCAAGTCTATTTCCAGGCAGTGGGTGAGCAGGGCTGAGAACTTGCCCCAGGCAACCTGCCTCCCAGCTGTGAAAGTAAATAGGGCTTTCGTGCTTCCCCTACCTGTGAAGTCTGCACACTGGATTCATGCCCTCCCCCGAGTTCTGGCCAGGAGACTTCTCTGTCGGTTCAAATTGTTACAAACTTCAGCTGGAGGTTTTCTTCTGCAGTGGCCTTTTCCAGTGCCTCTGGCAGCTTTCCTCAAGGATCCCTGTGAGGCAAGGCAGAATGGCTTGCTAGGGGGACCCAGCGAGCCCACAGGGCTTTACCCCTGTATTTTGCTTGGCTCTCTAGATTGATTCAGCTCCAAGTAAGGTCAGAATATTCTCCCATGATCTAGACCTTCAGGTTCCCCAGTGAGAGTGTGTGTTCAGGGACGGATGATCCCTCTTTCCCACTTCCACACTTTGGGCACTCACAGTATTTGGGGTGTCCCCTGGGTCCTGCAGGAGCAATCTGCTTCCTTCAGAGCGCTGTGGGTTCTCTTGGCTTTCCTGATTTATTCCTGCAATCGTTCTGGAGCAAAAGTTCATGATGCGAACCTCCATACACTGCTCTGTCTGTCCAAGTGGGAGCTGCAGTCTAGTCCTGCTTCCCATCTGCCGTGATCCTCCCAGACCTCTTCTATTATTGGTGAAAAAACTGAGGCTCAGAGAGGCCAGGGAACTTGCCCAAAGTCACAGAGCCAATCAGCAGAGAGCCAAGTCTATTCTCCAGACTTCTTGACACAAAATTCAAGGTCTGCATGACAGACGTTAACATAATATCAGTTTGCTGGAGGAACAGAAATAGATTCAGTTCTTCTAGCAAAAACCAAGGATTCAAATACATGAACCACAGAGAATATAGTTCTATTATTTTCAACCATTTTCATTTTTTCTTTCTAGGAAAGTAATACACATTCATTGTAGGAAATTGGAATTAATAAAACATAAAGAAGACAAAAATCAACTGTAATTAAAGAGATAAGTGCTATAAACAGTGTGTGTGCATGTATGTATAGATACATGGGTATAGGGAGAATAGATAGAATTTACATATTTTATATACATATATACATACATATGTAGAATATATTTAAAAATAATTTAATATATGGATTATATAATGCACAGAATTTATATCCTGTTTTTTCCTTAATATTTTTGTATGCATGTATGGGGTACAAAGGTAATTTAGTTACATGTATAGATTGCATAGTGGTGGAGTCAGAGTTTTTAGTGTATCCCTTGCTAGAACAACGCACATTATACCCGTTAAGTAATTTATCATCATCCACCCACCTTCTGTCCCCCACCACCTTCCTAGTCTCCAGTGTCTATCATTCCACAGTCTGCATCCATGTGTACATGTTATTTAGCTCCCACTTATAACTGAGAACATGTGGCATTTGTCTTCATGCGTCTGAGTTGTTTTGCTTAACATTTCTTTAGTGATCAAAATATCCATTTAATTATTTATTAGTATTTCATAAGAATCTATTTTTTAAATTTCCTTACTGTTTCACATTTGTTTCCAATGTTTTGCTCTTGTGAATAAGGTAGGAGGGTAAGATTTGAAGTTTCAATGACATATAGGAAAGGTGAATTATTAAGCAGGCCAGGGTGGAGTACCTAAGAAGGATCTCTGGGAAGTCAGGGAACTAAAGGGCTGGATCCTGTGGAGCTTATAAAATGGGGAGGGGAAATATTCTTGGGGGGTGTGAAAGTCCCCAAGAAAAACACCATTCACAAATTTTCCCAGGCATGGTTCAGTGTATGAACATGACAATTCCAGAAAGAACACAGAAGGTCATCCAAGGCCCACATATCTACTCTTCTCCCTGTGTCTCATGACTCTCAGAGAGAAACTGCTTTTCAAGAAGACTTTAGTCAAATATAATAAATCTGTACAAAGATTCATACATCTTAGGAAAACTCAATAAAGACAGATCTTCGGAAGAATTCTTGAAAGAAAATATATCTTGTTTCTAAATATTATTAATCAGTGCCTACTGTTTCATCGGAACAAAGCCTTTTTTCTAGTTAAATGCAAAAGAATTATCTCGGATAATGATGGATGACCTATTTACATCATATGAAAATGAGAGTAGATTGTCTCTAACCTAAAAGGCTATGTTTAGGCTGCTCAGCTAAAATGTTCCCTAGTTATAAAATATTTATAGAGTAATTTTCCTATGTTTTGCCCTTTCAACAAGTTTGCAATTGTAAGGGTAGTGTTTGAGTGGAAATTATATTTGTATTTAACTAGTTCAACTATTTCCCCAAGTAAATAGCAATCTTTTCTCAGTGGGCCCTTATTCAACATAATTTTTATTTTTTCTTCCATCTAAATTTTAGAAAGGATTTCAACAATTGTCTTAAGTGATAAATCTTCTTTTTAAATTATCACTTGGACCTTGAAATGGCCACTTCAATTATCATATTTGCCTTTTAAACCCTTTCCTTGTTTACAACATTTCTGAAAGATGTCTCATTTTAGATTTTGGATTTAAAAGATTTGTTTAACAAGAGAATTCACAAAGATTCAGTGATTCAGAGCTCCAGTGAAATAAGATAATGCTTCTTTTCTGAAAATGCAGGCATTCCAATGTCAAACCTGGGTTTAAGTGGAGGGACCGAATTTCCTGGGCAGTTGGTATTGACACTGGTCCTATACCTCTGATTGCAGAAGGTTCCATTTTGGAAATTTACCAGTGAAGATGCCATTGACCTCTAAAAGAATTTCAAGGACATTCTTTTCTAAGATTTTCACTGGTATTATTCTAGAAACAAACCTTCTGAGGCAGTATTTCTGAAACTGTGTTCTGTAGGTCACTATATCCCTGAGATGATAATAATTGTTTCCCAATTTATAATAAAATAAGGTTTTTGAAAATAGCTAAACAAATTTAAGTAGTTTGATATGCTAAAGTACATACTGTAAAGAGAGCTAAGGGAAGTGTTTTCCAAATTTATTTGACCATGAAGTCTTCCATCAAGGAAAAAGTATTATATCCCAATGAATAATTTGAAGCCACTGAAGCAGCTTCAAAGGCTTCAAAGGTAAATTACCCATTCTTCTATGTCCCACTCCACCCCACTAGGAGCTCTTCAGCTCTGTATCCATCATATATTCACATCAGCAGAGGCTCACCCACGTGCTGGACAGCCTTTTCTAGAGTGAAAGAGTGTTACTGTTCTGTTTTCTAATTTCCACAAAGGACAGGTAACTGCTCCTACAGGTTAATATGACTCTTCTTTGTTCCGTGGCACTATTTTATCTTATATATTTTCCCCAGCTGTTTTTTATCACATGCACACATATTTTTAGTTGAAATCAGTGGATTTTTTTTTTGTATAATTTGATCCCCTCTTCCATATTTTCAAATAGTAATGGCTTCTCCCAACAAGAACTGTGGCATACACTTTGTTTTCCATCAGGAGAAAGAGTAAAATTGAATGAATAGCCAGCTTCTTGCTGTGGCAGAGGTGGGGGAAAGAAGAAACCTACTCCATAACCAGGCATCTACTCCCACCCTCCTCCACCTCATAGTCCTAAATCTTTTCTCTGTCCCCTGAATTCAGAACGCAGGTCTGTTGATCACTGATGCCTTACCTAGCCTGGAGGAAGATTGGAAGTATGATCTGGAACCTCAATGGTAATGACTCTGTCCCTCTTTCCCTGGATCAAGGGCACCTGGAACCCAAATTAAAATGCAGAGAAAAGTAAATCTCCTATATAAACTATGTTTTTTAAATTTTCTTCCACTGATTCTTCTTTGACCTGTGTTGGTCAGTAATATGGCATCCAAGAGAGCACCACTTCCTGCAAGGTCGCTAAGCACCAGGCCCAAATCCAACTCCACAGGGTTCTAGGGTGGCCAACTACTGAAAAGTTTCCCAAGACTTTTAGTGCTAAAACTGGGAAAGTCCTGTACAAACTTGGATTGGTCTGCCTGTTCTCAGCCAAATAGCGTTTGGCAGTAGTCTTTCCAGTAAAAGCACAGAGTCAGAGTAGCAGAACCTCCTTTCCTGTGAATTCCTGCTTGAAAGCACTTGCCTCAAGCTGTCCTAGTAACCAGCTGGAGCCTAAGACTCAGTGACATGGTGAGGAGTCTGGCTCTTCCCCTTCCTGACTCCTCCCCTTCAGTACCTCCAAGCTCCCTGCTAAAGCTTCCTCTTTCCACCTCTAGGCCCCTCCAAGTCTTGGTCACAAACGTCCCACTTGGGTTTACTATTTCCTTCATTATGCCTTATTAGTATCTCATTATAATGAGGAGAGTCACCTAAAGACCTTATCTCCCTGCAGTCGTGACATAAGGCAGCACAGTCAGATGCTCCCTAGGGTGAGCTGATACATCCATCTTCTTACAGTAACTCCTGTGGGTCCTCTTTTCATCTAGTTATTGTTTGTGACCAATGTGGCCAATAGGTCCTCCTGGTCTGATACAGTTCCTTCCAGAAACATCTTGCTGTCTCACAGCTTCCTGAACCCACCCTTCCACATTTACACAGAGAAATACTTAGCTATGCTCTATGAACAGATGTTTACTGTGTAGAGAAAACACAATGCACATCTATATCAACTTCTCTCTATCCGTTTCTTTCTCTCTTGCTGTAGCAAGTCTCTCAGACGAGGGGCAGTAACAGAGACTTGAGTCAAGAGCAAGATTTCAATAGGACAAGTCACAGCTCTTCAGTAAACAAGAAAAACAATCTTAAAGGTTAATGAAAGTTGCTAGAGGGAAAATGGCTCAGATTCCCAAGACTGCTTCTCCTGTTTGGAGGTGAAAACATCAAAGGGACAAGAAAGATGAGTTTACATGAAAAGAACTGATATTCTGAACTTCTTCTTTCATGACAACTTGTGGCATGCTCTTTCAGCCATACAGAATAATATTACAAGCTGGCTAATGTTCAAGTGGTTTATGATTACATTGCTCTACTTGAAATAGTAAGATTTTATCTATGTTCTCAGCTTAATAACTCTTCGGTTAGTTGAAATATTTTCATTCCTGAAACTTGAAAAACCTGAGTTATTATGAAAGGTACGGGGAGGAAAAAAAGCTTAAGTTTGTACTTTGGAGAAATTGTTCCACATCTCTGATGGTTAATATTGTCAACTTCATTGGAATGAGGGATGCAAAGTATTGTTCCTGGGTGTGTCTGTGAGGGTGTTGCCAAAGGAGATTAACATTTGAGTCAGTGGACTAGGAGAGGCAGACCCACCCCCAATCTGGGTGGGCACCATCTAATCAGCTGCCAGTGCAGCTAGAATAAAAGCAGGCAGAATAACGTGGAAGGATTAGACTGGTTTAGTCTTCTGGCCTACATCTTTCTCCTGTGCTGGATGCTTCCTGCCCTCGAACATCAGACTGTAAGTTCTTCCGATTTTGGACTCTTGGATCTACACCAGGAATTTGCCAGGGGCTCTTGGGCCTTCTGTCTCAGACTGAAGGATACACTGTCAGTTTCCCTACTTTTGAGGTTTTGGGACTTGGACTGACCTCCTTGCTCCTCAGCGTGCAGACAGCCTCAGCGTGCAGACAGCCTCAGCGTGCAGACAGCCTATTGTAGGACTTTACCTTGTGATCATGTGAGTCAATATTCCTTAACAAACTCCCCTTTATATATACATATATCCTATTAGTCCTGTCCCTCTAGAAAACCCTAATACCCTTAAGCACCACAGGTTCATTAGCAATTAGAAATAATCTAAAATAATTTTGCTTTTTGCAAACAGAGAAGTTAATTTAAGTTTATCCCAGACTAGATTGATCATGTTTTATCAATATGTATTTTAAAACTATGATTATATATATATATTCTGTATATATACATGTATATATACACACATATATATATTCTGTATATATACATGTATATATACGCACATGTATATATACGTGTGTGTATGTATATATATATTATATATAGAGAGAGAGAGAGAAACATAAATTTGGTGTTGAGATCTAAACATGTTGCCAAGGCAAGGTAAAATTTTTATATTTTTTAATGTTCAAATCCCTTTCAAAAAGATATTAAAAACATTAAAAACTATTCTACATCAAGTGATTCAGTATCTATCTCACAAATAAAATACTACTAAGTCAGTGGTCTGTCTTACAACTTTGATTTGCTTATCCAAAGTTTTTTAAAATAATCATGTCATTTACTTATGTTTATACCTAAGAGCTAAAGAGTATGACCGATATATGTGGTAATAATACTCTTTTTTAAAAACATATCAGTTTGGATATTTCTATTGCAAGTAACAGACAATCCTATTCCAGCTGATTTATACAATAAAGGGATTATATATTGTTTTATAAAACTTGAAAGTCTAAAGTAATAAAGTTTTCAAGAAATGTTTGACTTAGTAGCTCAATAAAGTCACCCAGGATCCTGTATTATTTTCATCTTTTGCTCTGTCTCTCACATTTTGTGTCATCCTAAAACTGAAGTCATCCTAAAGCTGACAAAAGTTTGGTTTTGACCAAAATTGGATCAGGTAGACAGTATCTTTGCACTGTACTGTGTGAGCTTAGGTGAAGGGTGACGAGGATAATGTGAAACTATCTTTCCTACCCTCTTCAATGCAGCTTCTTATTTCTGTGCTGCACTCAGGTGCTATCATCTCTCACCTGGATCCCTTAGCTCTTGTGGAGGTATTTTCATGCATGGATAGTTGTTCAAATTAATGTTTTTGCAAGAGGGTGAGAGCTGGGAAGTCTTATTTTCTCATCTTGCTGACAGCACTCACTGGCATTTTCCTTTAAAAAGCAATTATCTTCATCTTAGTCATACTCGTATCCAATCTGATGAGGAAGATCTCCTGAGGGGTTAGAGGCCTAGAGAGGGGCAATATTTTCCCCTTTGGCCCACCCCTCCCACCAACTGTGGTAGCAGCTCCAGGTCCTTCCTACTGTGGGTGTGCCACCTGGAGAAATGTTAAAGAACAGAATCTTAGTGGATAATTGATTGGCTTCTTACAGCTTTTATCATTTGGTCAGTGCCATTATTGTATCTATTAAGTGTTATAATGTAAATATCTGTTGGTCTCTTTCTCTCAATTTGGATAAAATGAAAACTTCATTATTGAATAGTTTCATTACTTAAATATATAGTTTTGTTATTTATTACTTAAACTAGGCTAGTAAAAAATTATTCAATGGAATTCCTAGGGATTTTGTTGAGATATTTAAAATACATACATACATACACACCAGACAGATATCCATAAATCCATTTTTCTGACTTTCTTGAAAGTGGTTGAAGTTTTTCCTCATGAGTATCTGTAGTATCTTTCTTCAGTTTTGTGTATATCCTTAACATTATTATTGAGACTCTAGAGCTTTTCTTAAAAGGGTTGACAACACTATCAAAAACTTCAACCTAAACTCCATAAACTATCATAGATTCTATACAACCAATTTGAATTAAGTTTTTCTTTGTGTTATGAGCATAAAAAATTCATTGATTCAGTGTTACACACCCAATATTAGATTACAAATTTGCATTATTTTCAGACTTTACATTTGTGAACTGTAGTTGTGAATATTAAAAAGTAATTGGGAAACATGGTTTAGAGGTTTCATCGGAGGTGGTGGAGACATTTGGGTAGATAGTGTGCTTTCCCATGCCAGCTACATGCTCGCCCAGATCCCCTACCTCTCTCACAATTCCCATCCCAGATCCCCATCAGATTCACTCACTGCCACATTTTCCTCCACCTTCTGCATTTTCCAGCCCCACCAGATCTCCCTGACTCTACTGTGCTCCTTTGCTTTGGCTGAAGCCAGAATTATGACTGGACCCTCTCTGGGACTTAGTAATAGCAAATGAAGAGCGTACATGAACATAGGCATTGTTGCATTTAACAAAAATTGAGATGTAAGGCAGGGTCTCCCTGATAACATACAGGGAGAACAGTGTTTAATGAAAGTCTAAATGTTGGGAGGCTAGGGGAAATGAGACTATCTGCTTTGCCCCTTTCATGGTCTAAATTTCACTGTTTCTAACCAAGGGGAATTTCGGGCAGACATACTATGAAATCATTCCTTGAAGTATAACTTATTGGTTATCATGATTAAAGTAAACAACAGAACAAAAAGCACAATTAAGTTTAGCCCCAAACCACCTTAAGCAAAATGGTAACAAGTAGTTGGAGATTGGCTTGCATCAGAAACAATGATGTCTTATTAACTTGTACCAATTGTTCCGCCTGACCTATATTTGATATAGTAATGAAAGAGAGAGAGAAAAAGAAATTGAGAGAGAATTGTACTCTGTCTCCATGATACCACATCAAGAACTGCCTCTTTCTACATGTTTTGCTACCACCTGCAAGATGTTTGTGGAAGAACAGAGAGCCGAGCCACTTCTGTAGCAGAATGAGGGTGCAATGCCCACAGCTGCTGACATTTCCTTGAGTGGCGCCTGGTCACCCGCAGAGCCACTTTTGCTACACCCTCCCTTCCTAGTCCTTAAGTGGCTCCACAGAATAAATCATCTGAAACTCACGTTACCACCAGTGGAGGAGGGATGAGGACTGTAGTGACAATAAACGCGTAGGTATATCCTTGACATTATTATCAAGACTCTGGAGCTCTTTTGAAAGGATTTCACAGCAAATTCCAAAACCCAGAGTGTAAATGAATAGAAATGCTTTTGTCTTATAACCTTCATTTGTGTATAATTTACCTACAATAAACTGTATCTATTTTAAGCACATAGTTGGGCCGGGTTTGATAAATCCTCTATGCTCATGTATCCACCACTAGTTCAAGCTCTAGAACATCTCCATCAGCCCGAAAGGTCCTCTTATGCCCTTCCCTGTCAATGCCCACAGGATGATCTTTTAAGTCACATAACATTTATTTCTGCATTTTTATTTTCTACTCATTCATTCATTCATTCATTCATTCATTCTGAGACAGTTTCACTCTTGTTGCCCAGTCTGGGGTAAAATGGTGTAATCTTGGCTCACTGCAACCTCTGCCTCCTAGGTTCAAGCAATTCTCCTGCTTCAGCCTCCTGAGTAGCTGGGATTACAGGCATGCACCACCATGCCCAGCTAATTTTTGTATTTTTAGTAGAGACAGGATTTCACCGTGTTGGTCAGGCTGGTCCTGAACTCCTGACCTCAGGTGATCCACCCACCTTGGCCTCCCAAAGTGCTGGAATTACAGGTGTGAGCCACCACACCTGGCCTATTTCCGCATTTTTAAACCGGAGTACCACAAAAAAAAAAAGAACCTGTTTACCTGCCAGCAACTTTAGGTCTTCAATTCTTTGTGTAAAATCAGATAACACTTCTCGAAGTATAGGTTTAGCAGACTACTAATGAGAATCCGTTGCTACAGAGCTTCCAAACCTGGCTAACATCTGAAGTGCAGTATCCGCCCAAAAATCTGAGTCGAATAGGGGTGTTTTAACCTACTTGACATGTTCTGAAGTTAGAAAGGTCTCCTACCAAGGCTACATGGGTAAGAGGGCTAGAAGATAAAGGAAGTAAAAATAGTAAGAAAAAAAAGACTCTACTGAAAAAAAATCACATTCAACCATTTATGTGAAATTATATGCTTATATATGGAAATTGAATGTAACATTTAAAACATAAAAATAATTACAGCAACCTCCCAATTCTTACAAAAATTTTAGAGCTCTCCTGCTGAATAGCCTTCAAAACATTGCTCATTTTATGTCACATCAAATAATTTTCTCTTCCATCTTAAAAAATAAAAACAAACTAAAATCTAAAATGTATTATTGACTGATGAAAAGCAAGGCTGAGATTTGGAGGGAAAAGTGCTTTCTCAGTCTGAAGCTGATCATTCTCCTCTGAAAGTGCTTTCCTGCATGCTTCACAGATCAATCATAGACCAGACAAAACTTCCCCTGCGCTGCTTTCTAACAGATGCAGAGAGCTGGGCAAGTCAGTAATCAAATCGGAATTCCTGATTCTAAACATCTATCTCTATCGGCTAGAATCTGTGAAAGCATTCTGGAATTAGCAGAAATCTTCAGGCTGTTTACTTCAAGGCAGGCTGCAGTTAGAAAGTTCTTGTGATTTCTATCATGACTTAGCAAAACGTAAAAACTGGAGTACACCATTAGAAAATGAAAAGATGACTGAAGTTTTACACAAAAAGTGACAATGGTAAGGAAACTTGAATAAAAAAGTATAATTGTACAACAAAGGAAGAGTTGTCTTTTAGTCACTTTTTAAAATATAAAAAAAGTAATAAAAATACAATAAACTGTATATGACATTTTTTATCCCGAGTTTTCACTTAGCATTGTAATGTATACATTTTCCATATTATAAGTAATTATTAATAAATACTTTTTCATGGTTGTCATATTATAACTAAGTCCTACAAAAGTAATACTGTTCAGATTTCCTAAAATTATGCAAGTTCCACTTTTTGGTAATTTTAACACTGTGATGAACACATTGATATATGTCTTCTTCTCTACTTTGGGTTATTTCCCTAGGACATATTTTCAGACCTGTAATCACTGCATTTGGGTATGAAAATTTGTTTCTTGTTGCATAGTTTTAATTTGCTTTGCAAAAATATAATAATCTCTTTTAGAGCAATTTGGCAGTATCTATCAATATCCTCACAAATATTTCTACCCTTAGGTCTATGTATTAGTCCATTCTCATGCTGCTATGAAGACTGGTGATTTATAAAGAAAAGAGGTTTAATTGACTCACAGTTCCACAAGGCTGAGGAGGCCTCAGGAAACTTACAATCATGGCAGAAGGCACCTCTTGACAGGATGGCAGGAGGGAGAGTGAGAGCCGAGCAAAGGGGGAAAAGCTCCTTATAAAACCATCATCCCCATGATTCAGTTACCTCCCACTGGGTTCTCCCCACAACACGTGGGGATTATGGGAACTACAATTCAAGATGAGATTTGGGTGGGGACACAGCCAAACCATATCAGTCCACTATTTACTTAGAAAACAATAAGAAATATATGAAAAGATTTTGTTTACAATATTATTGGAGTACTATATCCACAAAAAAGACCACAATTCAAAGGCCCTGAAATAAAAAAAGCAGATAAACAAAATTATATTTTCCATAGAATGTACTTTATACAGCCAATAAAATCAGATTTTCAAAAATATGTAATAACAAGTGAGAAGTTAAAATATAGCCTATAATTAAGGTTAAGTGAAAAAGGTCAAGATATAAAATTATATATAATGTGATCTCAATTATATGTGTGTGTGTATATATGTATATATACACATATATATACATATGTATATACATACACATACATACATACACATACATACACATTCATAGAAATAGAAAGAAACACATAAAAATGTATACAGTGATTATTTCAAAAGGGATAATTACAGGTGTCCCTTCCTGTATACTTTGGAATATGTTTTTATATATTCAGAATACTAATCCTTTCTGTTATTTCTATGCTATACAACATTTACACTTTTATGTAAAATTATATATGTGTGAAAATTGAATATAACATTTAAAACATAAAAATAATTACAGAGGCACCCCAATTCTGGGAAATAATTTTTCAAAGTTGATTTTTTGTCTTTTTGTTTTGCACAGAGACTTTTCAAATTCATATGTATATTTTTTCATGTCACAAAAATGAAACTGCTTTGTAACTAATAGGTATTTCTTTGACAAAGTGCTGTGAAACTCCTCAGCAGTAATGTGGCCTCAGGGTCCCAAGTTTCCAAATAGTTTGAAGGGGTTAAAAAAACAGCAGTTTTAGACACAAGGAAGAAATATAACAGAATTTTCCACAAGGACTTAAGTTTTCATCATATATTACATTGTTGACTTGAGGTATTAAGTTTACCTTTACACCAAAGTAGAATCAGAGTTCATACATTTGCCCATGTTTGCATTTCATCAGCATCTTTTTAGGCTTTGTTGTAGCACATAAGTGCATCCACAGGACTCAAGGACTCAATAAACACTACTTGACAACTCAGCTCCCCATCACCTGCAGGATAGATTGCAAACTCTTTATCATGCCTACAAAGATACAAGGCCTTTCAGAGTCTTGCCTCTACTCAGTTGTACAGCCTCATCTCTGATTGTCAACGCTCTGGTCCTGCCACCCTGCACTACCTATTATGGGAATGGACATTCACTGAGCAGAAATGCTTTGTCCACTGCATGAGGCTAATTCTCACAGGGCCACAAAACTCCCCTCAGATGTCACAGTTTCCAAGAAGTCTTCTTCCCTCCCTCTTCCCTGCAGGCCTCTATGTGTTCCTTCTCTCCACTCCTGCAGCTACAGGACTTTCCTCTTCAATTGCACTCACCACACTGCATCTTAGCTATCTGTGTACTTATTGACCATTCCCTTCTAGAATGTTGGCAAGGGCAGAGATGTTTTTCTGTTTGGTATTGCTGTATTCTCAAGACCTAGAAAAGTGCATAGAAGATACCCAATAAATGTTTGAATACTTGTATGCCTGAATGAATGAGAGAATGAATGATTGGATGACTTCAGTGGGGAACTTGAGTATCTAAGCACAAGGTGCCTGGCAAAGGGCAGAAGTGGTGCCAAAAAGAAGGGGGCAGAAGAAGACAAGATATAGAGAGACCTAGTGATAAGGTGCTTGGTAAGATGGGAAGAGCATGGATTTGTCATATTTTGAGAAAGTTTCTCAGCTTGCACCTGTAAAATGGGATAATATATTCATTGGGTTGTTATGAGAATGGCTGAATTATAAATATATGAGTATACATGTAGAATGCCTTGCACATAGTAGGCATTCAGTAAAATGTTTGACTTGTTCCTATCTCCTTACTCTACAATATGGCCTAGGTGTTTCTATACCTATGAAAATCAATCACACATTTCTAGGGAAATAAATGCATTAGACAAATTATTTTTACTTTGATTTTTAAAAAGATAAGGCATGCTAGACAGCAACAATAATGAATGGAAGATGCCCAAACTCTTACCAGGTAAGTAATCATGGCCATAGGGAGATGTGGGTATGTAGCCTCTATTGAAATGGGCCTTTCTTCAGAAGAGAGGGTTCCTCGGGAGTAAGTTTTGTACAGAATAGAATCATATATATTTTAATGGCGGGACAAAAAGGTATTCCCAGAGCGCAGGAAAACTTTTCTCTTATGGCTTTCATTATTCTTTAAATTGATGAGACAAAACAGATACAATATTAACTTCTGTCCTAGAGCCATTTGCCTAAATGTGTAGATGTCTAGGGCCAAAAATACATCCATTGATTTTGGAATTAGAATCTATTTATACGCATTTTAAACAGATATTTCTGGTCACCTTGAAGTACAGGTGCTTGTGTCAGGCTGGAGAGTTGGGGACACCAGTCTTGCTACACAACAAAAATAGATCTTCATCATTAGAGCAGCAATCTAGGATGGCTGCCCACCACCAGCCTGGTCCTGGTAGGCTGATGTCTCAGGGATGCTGACTAAGCATTTTTCAGAGCCGACTGCTGGGTCCACAAGGGCTTGCTCAGAGCCTCTCTGGCAGAACAAGAAACTTCTCCACAGGAAAAAAGATTTTTGCAGCTAGATTAAATATTCCTACTGCCATATAGTATAGATCTACTACATATAGACCTACAACATATAGATTCTGTAAAGTAACAATGAGCACAGCTTTTATTGGCCCCACAAAGGCCTATGAGTCCTATACCTGGGGACAACATAATAAATAAACAGCCACAGGAGTGGTCATTGTCTTTGAATTGTTAGCTCACCTATCTGTGTACTGCATTTGCCATCACATGAGATTTCATCTGTTTTTTAGTCATTTTTTGTTTGTTTGTTTTACTCTGCACATGTGAATATGTGTGACAGACTGTGCCAAATTCTGTTAAAATATTTATTGAACACCTATAATGTGCCAGACACCACTTTAGGCATTGAGGCAGAGCAGTGAAATAAAGAGACAAAAATTTTTGCTCTTATGAAGCTTAGATTCTAGCGGGGTAAAGAATTAAAATGTATATTGACAGAGCAGGAGCATCACCATCTTTCACAAGCACTGCCATTTTAAAATTCCCCTTGATCAAAAACTGCCTAAATCCAATCCAAAGGGCATCAGCCTAATGGCTAATGTCAGCATAACCATAAACCACAAATGACATCTCCAACCAGAAACATTCCAACCCTAAAATGAACCCCTCCCTGACCAGAGATATGCCAGCCCCAAGATAACCTCTCCTATGACCAGAGAGATGTCAGCCCCCGGATAACCTCCCCTCCAACCAGAGACATTTCAACTCTGCAATAAACTTCTCCTCCACACTGAAACATTCCAAGCCTGTGATAAGTTCTCCCACCCTGAACTCTTAAATACTCTTAGTCGGTGAGAGCGCTCCTGACTGAAATTGGTCAGAAGTCCCTCTCAGGCTTATCCTCCAAAATAAACCTGTCTTTGACTGTTGAGTCACTCTTCATGTTTCTTTCCTCTTTCTTTAACTCTTACATATATTAGATAGGTAAAATACTCAGAGGGAAATAGTAACAGGAAGTATATGTGTCATATGAAAGGAAACAGTGGTTTTAGATAGCCGGGGAAGGGCTGTCTGAGAAAGTGATATTTGAGTAAAGTCGAGAAGCAAGAAAGGGGGTAAAGAGGAAAGATCTAGGGAAAGTGCATTTAAACAGAGGCAACAGCAAGGTCAACTGCCCTGAGGCAAGGGCCTGCCAGTGTACTCAAAGAATCATAAGGGGGCCACCATGGCTGGAGGAGAGTAAGCAAGGGAAAAAGTAGCAGGAGATGGCATCAGCAGCTACGGGAGGACCCTGTCTCGTCGCCTCAGAAGGTTTTGCAGATCTTAGAAAAGTTTTGCCCTTTACTCTGAGCGAGATGGAAAATCTTCAGTCTTAACTTTGACCTTATTGACTATTTTGTTGAAAATAATTTATGAGAGGGGGCAAGATTGGTTTTAGAAAGCCATTGCAATAAGAAATGCATTAGAAAGCCATTGCAATCTTCCAGGGGAGAAAGAATGATGCCTTGGGCTAGCATAATGGTGGCTTGGACTAGCAGAGGAAACAGCTAGAAACTTCCCAATTCTGAATATATTTTAAAGGTGGGGTAAACAAGTAGGATATGAGAGAAAGAGAGGGGTGAAGAAGGATTCCAAAGTTTGGGGCTTGAGCAGACTAGAAAAAGCCTATTGCCATTTACTGCAATGGAAAACACTATATAGGGAGCAGCTTTTAGGGGAAGGGGATTTGAGGGAACATCAGCTTATAGCCATTAGGTTAGGGGAGATCATCAAGGTAGCGAGTGCAGAAGTCCAAGGATTGAGCTCTAGGGCACGTCAACATTCAGAGGTAGAGGAGGGGTTTCCAAGGATGCGGGATTTTCAGGAAAGGTCTAGGCAACTGAGATGATGGATCAACCACTCAGAAGTCAGGGAGATGAGCGAGAAATCCATGCAAAGCAGTAGCAGAAAAGTGGGAGAGAAGTAAAGGAAGAGTATCAGGGAGAAGACAGCTGTCAACTCTGTCAAATGCTGATAAGGGGGCAAGTAAGATGAGGGCTGAGAATTAACCACTGGATTTACTGATAAACAGGTTAGAGGGGATCTTGACAAGAGCAGCATCAATGGAAGTTACAAGGGATAGATAGAAAGCCTCTACCTAGTGGCTCAGCATCAGGAGATTCTCTAGGAGTTCTTTAAGAAGTATTCCAAGCACCTCTTAATTAAAGGCATCGATTGTGCTGAGGTCACTGAGAAATGTAAGGAGAAATATAAATATTTAAAAAAAAAAAAAAAAAGCCCCTGTCCTCAAGAAACTTAATCTCTCCATGGGGGAGAAAGTGAGCCCACAGCTGACTCTAAATCAAAGCAGCCAGGGCTACATTATATGGTCAAACAGCGTCATCATCCTGTGCTTCTCACACTTCCTCAGACTTTCTTGACTAAACCAAACCCTGATTAAATCCATCTCTCTGCTTACTCCCGCCCGTATCTGTACTGCAGAACATGGCCGAGAAAACACTGGTTCAAGAGTGTCTTTGTCTACTTGGGTTACCCTAACAAAATATCAAACAGGCTGGCTCAAACAACAAAAATTAATTTTCTCACAGTTCTGGAGGCCTAGAAGTCCAAAATCAAAGCACTGGCAGATTTGTTTCCTGGTGAGGCCCTCTTCCTGGCTTGCAGACCCTGTGTCTTCACATGGCAGAGGGATAGCGATCTCTCTTTCTCCCTCCTTATTTTTATTATATTTTTGAGACAGGGTCTTGCTCTGTTGCCCAGGAGAGAGTGTAGTGGCACAATCATAGCTCACTGCAGCTTTGACCTCCCAGGCTCAAGCGATCCTCCCACCTCAGACTCAGCTGGGACTATAGGCACTCGCTGCCACCATGCCCGGCTAAATTTTAAATATTTTATAGAGATGAGGTCTCACTATGTTGTCCAGGCTGGTCTTGAACTCCTGGGCTCAAGTGATCCTCCTGCCTCAGCCTCCTAAAGTGCTAGGATTATAGGCATGAGGGTGAGCCATGATGCTCAGCCTCTTCCTCCTTCTCAGGCCACAATTCTGTCAGACTGGGACCCCACCCTATGATCTCATTTAAATGCGATTACCTCCAAAAGACCATATCTCCACATTGGGGGTTAGGGCTTCCACGTAAGAATCAGAGGGGGCAGGACACAATTCAGACCATAGCAAAGAGAGAAACTATGAAGAGAAAAATATAAACAGCATTTCAGGGAATGTTCTTGTGCAGAAAAGGAACAAATTGAGTGGTAGCTGGAAGGGGATATATTATAGGATCAAGAGAAAGTTGTTTATTTGTTTTAAGGTGAGTGGGAGAAATAAATGTATGTTTGCACGCCAATGAGAATGAGCCAATAAAGAGGGCAGAGGGGAAAATCCCTGGAGCAATGTCTTTGAATAGTTGAGAGGGAGTGAGATCTGAGGACCACTGGGGCATTGGCCCTGAAGAGGAGCACAGATGGTTCATCTGCTGAACAGGAGGAGGCAGAATATATGGACATGGGTGCACGTAGGTCACGGATAGATGTGGAGGTGGGGGTGGAGCTTGTCAAAATTTCCTTCCGATTATTTCTGTTTAATTGGGGAAGTAAAACGGAAAGGTCAGCAGGTGACAGGGTTGTTGATGGCAGTTTGAGGTCAGAGGAAAAGGCATGAGAGTCATCTAGGCAAGTAGGAGAGTGATGAACTAAGGAAATCTGATACTATAATTGCCAGGAAGCATTAAGGACCCACTTAAGGTTTGTGGTCATAAATTTTGAGACCAGTCAACATGGTTGCATGTTTTCTCCCAGCCATGTTCTGCTGCAAAAATACAGGCAGAGTGAGCAGACAGATGGATTTAGCCTGGGTTTGGTTTAGCCAAGAAAGTTTGAGGAAGCTTGAGAAGCACAGGATGATGGAAGTGTTTGACCATATAATGTAGCCCTGGCTGCCTTGATTTAGAGTCAGCTGTGGGCTCACCCCTCTCCCCTACAGAGAAATGAAGTTTCTTGAGAAAAGGAGACTTTCAACATTTTCTTAATGTTCCCAGAACAATCAATGCCTTAAATTAGGAGGTGCTGAGAATTGTTCTTCAATAAATGGTTCTAGAAATCTTAGAGAATTCCGTTGATGCTGAGTTAGTGGTAGAGGTTCCTAGAATGAGATTTGTGGTAATGGGAGACGGGCCAGATCCACTCACTAGGAGAGAAGCTGGGGCCGTTCAGAAATAGTGCATGGAAACTGGCCTCTGGCTCCTTTCACAGGCTGGATCTTTCACGGCTAAAGTACAAAGTCTTTCATTTATTCATTTAACAGCTATTGAGTCCCTGCTAAGAAACCCACCTAGAAAATTCAATAAAACAGACATGGTTAGACCTAAGAGAACATGAGCTAAGATTTATTGAGTGCTTACTGTGCTCTAGCCCATGTTTTAACAGCTTTACATATCTGATTAATTTCTATAATATTATATTGTTACAGAATCATTAATATTGTGCTATTATCATCATCCCATTCTATAGGTGGAAAGCAGGATTATATCATTTTGCAAGACTATCCAGCTGGTAAGCAGCAGAGAGGAGAGTTGAATTTGGTAGTCTGTTGCCAGAGAACATGTTTCTAACTATTTTACCACATGATCCATATTATCTCCCTCAAGACTAGAGAAATCAGTCACTCAGCTTGAGGGGAATGAAAATATACCCTGCCTCAAAAATACCCCATTAACTGAAATAGCAACCCTAGTCTCTCCACTGGGTTCAAACACAGAATGGAAGAGAATGGAAGTCAAAGCCCTACACTTGAGTGGAATTCGGTGTGATGCATCCGGGAGGAATGGTACACAAGACTAAGGGTCAGCAGGCCTGAGGTCTACTCAGTCAGAGTTTTACTAGTTTCTTCAGTGAGTCACTTGACTTCTCTCAACCTCCTTGTATTCTTATTTGTAAAATCAGGATATTCACACCTGTGCAGCCTCACCTGTAAGAATGATGAGGTGAAACATGAAGAACATCGCCTAAATATTAAGTGCTAAACACATTAGAGATTACTAGAAGGCCAGAGCAGATAAAATCAGAATAGCACAAGGAAAGGTGAGGAGCCCTAAGGGAGACCCAAAGGACACCCTAAGAGCTCTTGAGACAACAGGTAGGAGGTTAGGCAAAAGTAAGAAACAAATAAAAGAGAGTCGAGGAGGACACAGCCTGCCAATGACGACTGGCTGCTTTGGCCCATGACTAGTTAAGGCCGGTTCAACAGAGGACACCCAGGGTACTGGCTGTCAGTGGCCCAAATACAGTTATGTATTGCTTTACAAAGGTCAAACAATGGACAGATTCTGAGAACTCTGTCAAGTGATTTCATCATTGTGTGAATGTCATAGAGTGCACTTATACAAACCTGCATGGTATAGTCTACCAAACACCTAGGCTATATGGTATAGCCTATTGCTTCTAGGCTACAAACCTGTACAGCATGTGACTGTACCAAATACTGAAGGCAATTGCAACACAAAGGTAAGTATGTATGTATCTAAAGATAGAAAACGTAGAGTAAAAATATGGTATAAAAGATAAAAAATGACCTACCTGTGTAGGGCACATATCATGAATGGAGCTTGCAGGACTGGAAGTTGCTCTGGGTGAGTCAGTGTATGAGTGATGAGTGAGATGAGTGAATGTGAAGGCCTAGGACTTTACTGTACCCTACGGTAGGCTTTATAAACACTGTACACTTAGGCTATATTACATTTATTTAAAACCTTTGCTTTCTTTAATAATAAATTAACCTTAGCTTACTATAATTTTTTACTTAACATTTTAAGTTTTAACTCTCTTGTAATAACACATAGCTTAAAACACAAATACATTATAGAGCTGTACAAAAAATTTTTCATCCTTTATATCCTAGCTTTTTTCTATTTTTAAAATTTTATGTTTTCTAATTTTTAAACATTTTTGTTAAAAGCTAAGACACACACACATTAGCCTAGGCCTATACTGTCTTCCATTTCTTGTCCCAAAATATTTTGTTGAGAAATTTTGCATTTATGTGCATCACGCATACAACAAGCCAAATACAATGACATGCCAAAAAGATCATATGCCATGATCAAGTGGGATGTATCCTAGGGATGCATAGATGGTTCACCATATGCAAGTCAATACATGTAATACATCATATCAAAAGAATGCAGAAAAATATGACATGATCATCATAATGTATTCATAAAAAACTTTTGACAAAATTCAACATTGCTTCATAATAGAAACTCTCAACAAACTGGCATAGAAGGAACATACCTTCACACTCTAAAGACCACATATGACAAACTCACAGCTAACATTATATGCTATTGCCCCTGAAGATTTTCCAGTGGGACAAGAGATGGAAGACAGTAATACTGATGATATTGGCCCTGTGTAGGCCTAGGCTAATGTGTATGTTAGTCTTAGTTTTTAACAAAAGTGTTTAAAAATTAGAAAAAATGCAGTTAAGTTGAAAGCCGTTTTTCTAAGAATTGGAACAAGACAAGGATGCCCACTTCCACCACTCCTATTCAACATAATACTGAAAGCTTTAGCCACAGCAATTAGGCAAGAGAAAGAAATAAAGTGTATCCAAATTGGCAAAGAGGAAGTCAAATTGTTCCTCTTTGAGGATGACATGATTTTATATTTAGAAAAACCTAGACTCCACAAAAAAACTCTTAGACTTAATAAATAAATTCAGTAAATTTGCAGAATACAAAATCAACATACAAAAATCAGTAGCATTTCTATATATCAATAATGAACTAGCTGAAAAAGATATAAAATAGCTAACAAAAAAATCAAATGTCTAGGAATAAATTTAACCAGAAAGGTGAAAGACATCTACGCTGAAAACTATAAAACACTGATGAAAGAAATTGAAGAGGATACAAACAAATGAAAAGACAGTCAATGCTCATGGCTTGGAATAATTAATGTTCTTAAAACGACCACATTACCCAAAGCAATCTACAGATTCAATGCATTCTCTGTCAAATTACTAATAACATTCTTCACAGAAATAGAAAAAAAAAAAACTCCTAAAATTTGGAACCACAAAAGACCCTGAATAGCCAAAGCAATCCTGAGCAAAAAGAACAAAGCTGGGGACACTACAGTATCTGACTTCAAAATATACTACAAAGCTATAGTAGCTAAAATAACATGGTATTGGTATAAAAACAGACACATAAGCCAATGGAACAAAAATAAATTCACACATTTACAGCCAGCTGATTATTGACAAAGGTGCCAAGCACAATATAATGGTAAAAGGATACTCTCTTCAATAAATGGTGCTGGGAAAATGGAATATCCATATGCAGAAGAACAAAACTAGAACACTATCCATCACTATATTTAAAAATCTACTCAAAACAAGTTAAAGACTTAAATGTAAGACTTGAAAGTATAAAACTACTAGAAGAAAACATAGGGGAAACACTTCAGGACATTAGGCAAAGATTTTAAAGACTTCAAAAGCACAGGCAATGGAAACAAAAATAGACAAATAGGACTATATTTAACTCAAAAACTTCTTCACAGCAAAGAAAACTATCAAAGGGTAAAAAGACAACTATTAGAATGAGAAAATATATTGGCAAATTATTCATCTGACAAGGGATTAATATCCAGAACATATAAGGAACTCAAACAGCTCAACAGCAGCAAATCATCTGACTAAAAAGTAGGCAAAGCGCCGGGTGCAGTGGCTCATACCTGTAATCTCAATACTTTGGGAGGCCGAGGCAGGCAGATCACCCAAGGTCAAGAGTTCAAGACTAGCCTGGCCAATATGGTGAAACCCCATCTCTACCAAAAATACAAAAATTAGCCAGGCGTGGTGGCACACGCCTGTACTTCCAGCTACTAGGGAGGCTGAGGCAGGAGAATCACTTGAACGCAGGATGCAGAGGTTGCAGTGAACTGAGATCACACCACTGCACTCCAGCCTAGGCAACAGAATGAAACTCCATGCCAAAAAAAAAAAAAAAAAAAAAGACATTTCTCAAAAGAAGACATACAAATGGCCAAAAGAAATATGAAAAAATGCTCAAATGCTCAACATCACTAATCATAAGGGAAATACAAATTAAAACCACAATGAGATACCACCTCACCCCAGTTAGGATGCCTATTATCAAAAAGACAAAAGTTAACAAATGCTGGTGAGGATGCAGAGAAAAGAGAGCACTTATGCACTGTTGGTGGGCATGTGAATGAGTACAGTCAATATGGAAATCACTGTAGAGGCTTCTCAAAAAACTAAACATAGAACTAACATATGATCCAGCAGTCCCACTACTGGAAAGGAAATCAGTATATCAAAGGGACACCTAGATTCCCATGTTTGTTGCAGTGCTATTCACAATAGCTAAGATATGGTTTCAACCTAAATGTCCATCAATAGATGAATGGATAAAGAAAATGTGGTTTATATACCCAATGGAATACTATTTAGCTATACAAAGGAATGAAATCCTGTCATTTGCAGCAATGTGGATGAGGCTGGAGGACATTATGTTAAGCAAAATAAGCCAAAAACAGAAAGATAAATACTGCATGTTGTTACTTACATGTGGCAGAAAAAAAAAATTGAGTTCATGGAAATAAAGAATAGAAACGTGAGGCTGGGAAGGGTAAGGGGAGGAGAGAATGAGGAGAGTGTGTTAATGAAAACAAAATTACAGCTAGATAGGAGAAATGGATTCTGATGTTCTGCAGCACTGTAGGGTGAAAATGGTGAACTATAATTTACTGTATATTTTCAAAAAGCTGGAAGAGAGGATTTTGAATATTCACAACACAAAAAAATGATAAATGATTGAGGTGATGATATGCTAATTACCCTGATTTGGTTGTTACACATTGTATACGTGTATCTAAATATCACTCTGTAGCCCATAAATATGTACAGTTATGTGTCAACTAAAAATTTTAAAAAATGATAACAAGTATACTGTAGTAAATACATAAACCAGTAACATAGTTGTTTATGATCATTAGCAACTATTATGTACTGTACAGCATTGCATGTGCTATACCTTTATACAACTGGCAGTTCAGCAAGTTTGTTTACACCAGTATCACCACAAACACATGAGTAATGCATTGCACTGCAATGTTATGATGGCTACAACATCACTAGATAATAGGAATTTTTCCACTCCACTAAAATCTTATGGGACCACCATCATATATGCAGTTGGTCATTGACAGTGCCTCACTGTACACTCCTTGTGTGAGTTAAAAATAGGTGCCGCTTTCTCAAAACCCTTTACTTCCATGTCAGAAAATTATCCTGACTTTCTTTGGTAAAATGAGATATTTTCTTGATATATGCCTGAAAAATTACTGTAACAAATATGAAAATCTACAGTGTTACCATGAGTGCCCCAGAGGGTTGTGTAGTGCACAACACATAGCGTTTCTGTCTGATGACCTTCAACACTGACTATCCCCCATCACTGACCACCATGTCAGGATTATGTCTTTAGATCTATATTAAATATACTATAGTATAAGGCCACTTTAAAGATTGAAATTGAACATTTTTAATTTCTGTGCTTTTATTAGCCCTAGATTAGAAAAGATATATGAAGATTATTGACTTCTGAGAAGGATTTTACATATGCATTTTAGACAAGTGGGAAGCTATTTGAGTCCATCTTCTTCTGCTATAACAGAATACCATAGTCTGGGGCCTGGAATGGTGGCTCACACCAGTAATCCCAGCACTTTGGGAGGCTGAGATGGGTGGATCACTTGAGGTCAGGAGTTTGAGACCAGCCTGGCCAACATGGTGAAACTCCGTCTCCACTAAAAATACAAAAATTAGTCAGATATGGCAGTGCACACCTGTAGTCCCAGCTACTCAGGAGGCTAAGGCATGAGAATTGCTTGAACTTTGGAGGCAGAGGTTGCAGTGAGCCAAGATCGCACCACTGCACTCCAGGCTGGGCAACAGAGCAAGACTCTGTCTAAAAAAAGAATACCATAGTCTGGGCATTTATTTGGCTCATGGTTCCAGAGGCTGGGAAGTCCAAGATTGAGAGGATACATCTTTATATTACATCATAACATAGCAAGAAGGGAAATAAGAATGCAAGACAGAAAGAGATAAACTAAGCCAAACTCATCCTTTCTATCAGGAGCCCACTCCTATGATAACTAACTCATTCCCACAATAAGGGCTTTAATTCATTCATTAGGAGAGAGCCCTCATGACCTAATCACTTCTTAAAGCCTCCACTTCCTAATACTATTAGAATGGCAATAGGCCAGGCACGGTGGCTCACGCCTGTAATCCCAGCACTTTGGGAGGCCGAGGTGGGCAGATCACGAGGTCAGGAAATCGAGACCATCCTGGCTAACACGATGAAACCCTGTCTCTACTAAAAATACAAAAAATTAGCCGAGTGTGGTGGTGGGCACCTGTAGTCCCAGCTATTTGGGAGGCTGAGGCAGGAGAATGGCATGAATCTGGGAGGCCAAGCTTACAGTGAGCCAAGATCGCACTATTGCACTCCAGCCTGGGTGACAGTGCAAGACTACAACTCAAAAAAAAAAAAAAAAGAATGGCAATTACATTTCAACATGAGTTTTGGTGGAGAGATTCAAACCAGAGCAGACATTAATAATATACATATATATTATGTGCATTGTTATGTTAAAATTGAATAGCCATTTATGTTTAGAGAACAAACCTACCAAAATTGTCCATTTTAGTAGGGCCCATTTTTCTAACCAAATACCATGGATTAAAAGCTGAATTTAAGAAGAGAAAGAATCTTAAAAAGTTGTTAAGCAAGGTTAAATCTAGTTTTTCTTTCTCACACAGACTCTGCTTGTGACTGTTTCTTGGATAATTGGCACCTTGTGAAATAATCGCTAATAATAGTTATCTTTTAGTGGATTCCTGGCACCGCCCTCAGCTGAGCGCTGTAAGTATATTATTACATTTAATCCTCTCAACCATCTTATGGGATCGATATTATTAGCTCATTTCACAGAGGAGAAAGTTGAGGCTTAAAGAGGTGATGTAATTTTGTCCAAACTAAACAGCTGGTAGGTTGAGGAGTCAGGGTTCCAATCCACTCTCTCAGAATCTGTAGCCACCTGCTCTTAGTCACTGCTGTGTGTCAGTCTCCCTTGGCACTAGATACAATGGTGATTAGGGTAGCATAATGAGCCTTTTGGACTGCTTGCAAACCATGAACTACTGCATCTTTGAGTTTTAAGGGCTTAGCTTAGGACTAGGGGATATGCATGGAAGCCCAAATCATAGGTGTCCTTTATCTGTGGGATCAAAGTTTGTCACTCAGCATCCTGAACATTGTGTGCCTTTAAACAAGGCAAATCTGATACCATAATTTGGACAACAACTTAGCCAAAGCATCATTTCTGTATATGGAGGCCAAGTAGTACTAACAAACATGCAAATTCTAATTTTAAAACTCAGACAAACATTTTACAGCTAAAACAATCCACCCCCTTTTGGCTAAATAACTGAACAAAATTTCCCCTACAAAGGCAAAGTTCAATATTTTCATTTCTGTAAAACTCTGACCCATGTCACTTTTCATCAGTGCTGCACTATCTGTGAAGTCCCCTTCTAACCTAGAAGAGTTAGCTTCCTCCCTAACATACTTGGAGAAAGATTTGGGCATACCGCAGCATTTCATTTCCTCTTTGTCTAGCTTGATGATAACTCGTCACTTTTCAAACTGTGAAGATGAAATCAGGAGAAGAGTGTGAAATATCAGTATAACAATGGCCACTTCCCACCCCATGAGACAAAGAAGTGAAAGGCTTAGTGATTTGTATGATGATGAGCACTACAGAAAACATTCAAAGCTTCTAAATCCCAGGGATTTCCTGACTTCAGTTGTGAGGGCCAGCCACACTGACATCATAGATCCTTCCTGCAGTCACAATGCTACTAAGTCACCCTTGGGAAGAGGCCCCAGAAACAGGAAGACCTTAGTTAGGATGCAATTACAATTCCTTGGTACATTGGCTTCCTCAGAAAAAAGAAAAAAATCACAGAGATTGTTTTTCAAAAATATCAAATCTACAAAAAATAAAGCTGGAAAAGCAAGCATCATGAGTTCAGGTACTTATGGACTATTCGAGGTCTCTAAATTTCTCCTACTTCACTATCTTTCTTCTGTTTCTTATTACATATAAACAAAATAATGAATCCCAATGAAGACCCTCAGAAGGCTTGGGCACAACAGAGTAATAACTTAAACAAATGTACAAGAAAAAAAAACCCCATCAAAAAGTGGGCAAAGGATGTGAACAGACACTTCTCAAAAGAAGACATTTATGCAGCCAAAACATACGAGAAAAAGCTCATCATCACTTGTCATTACAGAAATGCAAATCAAAACTACAATGAGATACCATCTCATGCCAGTTAGAATAGTAACCATTAAAAAGTCAGGAAACAACAGATGCTGGGGAGGATGTGGAGAAATAGGAACGCTTTTATACTGTTGGTGGGAGTGTAAATTAGTTCAACCATGTGGAAGACAGTGAGGTGATTCCTCAAGGATCTAGAACTAGAAATACCATTTGATCCAGCAATCCCATTAATGGGTATATACCCAAAGGACTATAAATCATTCTACTATAAAGACACATGCACACGTATGTTTATTGCAGCACTGTTCACAATAGCAAAGACTTGGAACCAACCCAAATGCCCATCAATGATAGACTGGATAAAGAAAATGCCGCACATATACACCATGGAATACTATGCAGCCATAAAAAAGGATGAGTTCATGTCCCTTTGCAGGGACATGGATGAAGCTGGAAACCATCATTCTCAGCAAACTAACACAGGAACGGAAAACCAAACACCACATGTTCTCACTCACAAGTGGGAGTTGAACAATGAGAACACATGGACACAGGGAGGGGAACATCACACACTGGGGCCTGTTGGGGGTTGGGGGCTAGAGGAGGAATAGTATTAGGAGAAATACCTAATGTAGATGATGGGCTGATGGGTGCAGCAAACCACCATGGCACGTGTATACCTACGTAACAAACCTGCATGTTCTGCACGTGTATCCCAGGACTTAAAGTATAATTTAAAAAAAATACATTCCTGATTATTTTAGAGCTGTCTGATCCTAAAAAAGTTTCTAAAGGTCTTATAGAAGTATCTGTAAAGAAATGCTCTTCTAGCTAACTATAGATGTTATGGGGGGATGGGGGAGAATTGGGATAAGTGAGGAGAGGGGAAATGTAAAGCAAATTGAAAGCCTCCCTTTAAGCCAAGCTATATGTACAGAAACTGCCCTCAATTAAAAAAAAATTAGCAGCACTGCAAAAATTCACTTGTCATAGTTCCTGACCTGATTCAGCATTCTGGTTACCTAGATACAAATGTAAACAAAAGTGCCTCTCCAACTGCGACTGCAGAGGAACAGCCAGTTGAACCTGATGGCCCCCTTCCTGGCTCAGACAATAACCAAGAAAAGAAAGCAAGTACTTTTCAATATTCACATTAAAAGTAGAATACTTTGCTCAGCTTCTTTAAAGTTTAGAGTGCTTAGAGAGTTTAAGAAGTTCTGGAAGAATAGTTCTCCCACATTTCCTGTTTGTTCTGTCTTGGCAAAATGGCTGCTGAAAACACAAGCTGAAAAGAAAAATGACCTCAATTTACAATTTCATTAATTAGACTGATTTTTAATATATGGGGCTAAAATTCTTTTAAGTTGATCATTATGTATGTTTTATGATGATTCAAAAGGAACCATGATAAACTCAAGGTGCAGACTTTATCTTTATCTCTAACATGAAAACCGGTATAGCTAAATAGAATGTTTCCTTTATTAGAACTTGTCGTATCTTCTCCGTTAAAAAGAACATTTTTTAAAGCAGTGTTTTTAGACTTTTTTTGCACTTCTCTTAACACCTTGTAATTTACATAACAAGAGGCAGATGCAGTCACTTGTTACATAAAGCACTAGCACAATATCAAACATTGATTTTTGGTATGTATTATATAATAGGCTGTACCACATACTAGCTGTGGGACTTTGGAATGATTACTTAACCTCTGTTTCTTCTTCTGTAAAATGGGTGAATTAGGCTTATCATACAAAGTTATTGTGGGTTTGAATGAGTCACTTAAGTAAGTGCTTAGCAAGTAGGAAGGGCTACAGTATGATTATCATCATCATCTACATGATCTTGGGCAAGTCCCGTACTTCTCTGATCCTGAAGCTCCTCACCTATAAAAAATAGTCATCTTAATTTCTTTCCATAATAAGGGTTTCAGCTTCTTAAGGTAACTAATGTCATCCTTACACTAATGGGAAGGTAATGATATCCACTTTATAGGGCATTCATGTCAAATAAAATTATGTCATATACAAGAACGTATTTCATAGCCCATAAAACCAAAAAGCTATAACATTCAAAGCATTATTATGAAATGGATAAAACTGATATATGTAAAAAAATTCCCATAGTGGCCATCAAGTTGTTTGTGAGACAGTTTTTATATATAATAACATCCTAGCTTATAGGAATGAGGATAAAACAGAACTGACTCTTATGTTCAATTAGCAAAGATATAAAAATTTAAATACTGTCTTAGATACCTAAAAATTACATTTAAAAAATTGCACCAAAAGCCAACATCAGTGGCTTTTGTTCTAGGTAGCAAAATTACAAGCGAGAATTTTTATTCTGTATCTTTAACTTTTCTATACTTTTCCAAATATTCCTCCATTGTTATGCTTAACATTTGTCACTTAAATAGTGTGTGTTGTAGGTGTGTTTTTAAGAAGATGCTACTTGTGGTCTTTCAAGTAAGACTTAAAAATTAATAAAATAAAAATAAAACATAGATCTAATTGTTACACTTCAGAAGGAGAAAGGAGGACAAGTTAGTGCCCTTGGACACTGTATTCATCATACACTTTAATTCCACAAATACTTGGAGAGGACTACTCTCCAAACATATAAGGAGGGACCAACCGGTTGCTGAGGAAATGCCAAAAATAGATCCCCACACAGACCAGAGGGAGCAGTGGAAAGGTGAGGAGGAAAGAACTGGCAATGAAGTAGGTGAGGTCTCAGGACTCAGTACTGTTTCAGTGGGAAACAGGAGTGAAAACACTCTCCACGGCAGAAGGCATCAGGTCCTCTGACTTAGGAAAGTTTCCATAACGTGGCCACCTGAGTGCCCAGTGAATCAGTAGATCCATTCTCGAGGGGAAGACGTGGCTTAACAGCATTAGACCCATTGCAGACCCCATTCAGCAATGCGGGGAGGGTACAAGCTCTCTCCTGGGGGTTCACAGGCTCCCTCGTGAGCAGCCTCGAGCCTTTTCTGCCTGCCCACCACCAACAGGGCTGGGTCAGGAGAGACTTTGTCAGGCGTTCTTTACAGCATCCCTGAAAATGGACTTCACATTTTTTTAAGGTTTTTTGAAGGAGTGAGGTATCCAATTAAGTTTCTTAAAACTTAAGAAGTAGTAATTCCTTGGGCATTTGAAAAAGGAATGCTTTCTGTATGTGAGTCTTAACATATTCTGCCCACCATTATAGTACACAGTAACATAAAGCAAGAAAAAATATCCTAGGAATATATTTTGTTAAAGTTTTTAACTGAGGTGGAATACCACTCATATTCTCCATATTGAATCCAGTTCACCAATAGGCTATTAAAATTAGGATAAATCTGTCTTGTTTTTTTAAACTTAAAAGAACATTAGAATTTAAGGCATTTTCGGCTGGGCGCTGTGGCTCACGCCTGTAATCCCAGCACTTCGGGAGGCTGAGGCAGGCGGATCACAAGGTCAGGAGATCGAGACCATCCTGGCTAACATGGTAAAACCCCATCTCTACTAAAAATACAAAAAAAAATTTAGCCAGGCGTGGTGGCGGGCGCCTGTCGTCCCAGCTACGCAGGAGGCTGAGGCAGGAGACTGGTGTGAACCCGGGAGGCGGAGCTTGCAGTGAGTGGAGATTGCGCCACTGCACTCCAGCCTGGGCGACAGAGCGAGACCCCGTCTCAAAAAAAAAAAAAAAAAAAGAATTTAAGGCATTTTTGAGATATGAAAAACAGTGAGTACATTGGGTATCTTCTTTCCTGTCATAAAAATGCTGCAAATTATCAACTTTCATGAAAATAGAACTTTCTAGTAGTACCATTTTATTGAATTAGAAGTTGCCAGTTAAGTGTACATATGGCCAGCTATACTTAATGTTGGTAAATCATGTGTATGACTGCTCTGGCTATAATAATCTGACATCCAGGTACTTGGATAGGCTAGTTTTCTAGTTCGGGGCTTTGTGTTTGAAAATTAGCTGTTTCTCCTTAGAAATCAGCATGTCAGGAATCATCCACTCTGTGAAGACTTCTTTAGTAACTCAGTCAATAATCATTAGATATTTCATTTTAAAATTATCTAAGAATAATCTATGGCTTTGACTTTTCCAAAAAGGTTTTCTTGACTGTGATACCAAATCTATGAAATACAGCTCTCTAGTATCTCCACAGAACTTAATTTTGTTTTTAGTCATTAGCAATACAAAGGGGACATGTGTAAGATTAACTGAGCTGATTATCTGGTCTATGGTATACATTTTGTTTAAAATTAAAACTCTTTAAAGATAAACTGCATAGAAGTAATCTGTAAAGAAGCAGATGATATATTCTGAATCTGTAACCTTTGTTTTAGGTAAGATTATCTCCAGCCAAAATGTCAACCAAGAATTCTACAGATCTAGTTGAATATGTTGACAAGTAAGTGTGTAAATTACAACTAGTTTTAACTATTAACTGCATTTATTGTGACAAATCTCACACGCAAAAAAGAAAAAATCCTGTGTTTAATTATTCAGTCAGAGATGAATGTACCTGAATGAAACCTTTAAGTTCTCTGCATTCAGAAGAGATTAAATCATGTCAGAAAGACAAACCTGATCCTGTTCCTTTCTGATTGACAGAACAAGCAGATTTAACTACCTTTTCTTTAAATGACCTCCATAGGTTCCTGTAGATTTATGTGAAAAGCAATACAACATATTGCATATTGCAACAATATCAGATATAGCTAACTATTGACTTCAAAATAAACCAAGTAAAGCTGTTAACATTTCATGATAAAAACTCAGGAAATTTTGAGATATATTTCACTAATCACTAGAAGATGTTGTTTCTGCTATTTACAGTGCCATACCTGGAGCTCCCCCAGGAAAGGTGTACCACAGAGGGACAACTCCAGGCACTTGGAAATAGAGTAACACACTGTTAACACATGCACATTGTCCAAAATACCCAAGGATGCCAGTGATGAAGGTGGCATTGCAAAGGCAATGCATATTAATTTGAGTTGTTTTCTATTCCATATGTCAAAGCAGGATTTGGTCTAATGCTGTCATTCATGTTTTCAGGGCACTGGGGATTTAGTGTCAGTCCTTCTACTACTTTGCTGTGTAACACCAGTCAGTTCCATAATGTCTCTGGGCTTTAGTTTTTTCATTTGAAAAACAAAGAGGTTGGACTAGAAACTACTGCAGCTTTAAAATAATTCTGATTTTAATAATCATGACCACAGAAGAAAAAAATAGCCAAATGAATGAAATGAGTTCATGTGAAGAGAAAAATCTAAATACACCTTGAACTTCGATTTTTTAAAAATTATCTTTAACAATTAAGATGATAAGATTTCTTCACTAATTTTTACTGCATTTTTTTCACAAGAATTCCCCTGTCCCTTGGCCAGTTAAATTTAATACATTCCAAATAGTTCAATCACAGTATGTTAGCGTTAGCCCCTTTTTTCATGTTCCACATAACTTGTATTTGTTTATATGACTATGAGTCTATGATTTAGAAAAAAATAAAACTAAGCATGGGAAAAATATTTTTAAATGTTTAAAAAATGCAATATTTGGACAGATGACTTTTCTTCTGAGTTAAGGACAATGAATGTAGTATGCACAAAAATAATTATTATAAATAAATGTATTAGCTAACCTTATCTTCCAAGGAGAAAAGGGAAACTTGTCCCCACCTGACTCTCTACATGACAAATGGAAAATAAAAATCATTCTTCTGATCCGTCAAATTCTATTACAAACCTGTGTGGATTTCTTTAGCTCAAGCTGGTGATGTACATCCCAGGAGATGAGAAAATAAATTCCTGGAAAATGGTAACAAACTTAAGCAGCAGAAGATAAACTTTTTGGATTTCTTTGGCTTTCAGATAAATTAAAATGAAGACAAAGAGGAAGAAATAGTCTATAATGCAAAGCAAAAGCATGATAAAGATTACTTCACTCCAACATTTATTTCTACCTTAATCTCTCCCTTACCCCTTCTCTTACTATCTAAACCATATATCTGGAACTTTCTATTTATGATTTCACATTGTTAATTGTCTTTTGGTCTCTCTCTTCGCATCTCTCAGAACAGGCTGCAAACTCCCTAAAGGAAGGCACTCTATGGCCTTATGATTTTTGATATCCCTCCAGTAGCCTATCATGATGTACTGAATACACTTGATGAACTGTAGTTGACAGATTTAATGGAAAGTAATGGTAGAACAATTGAATTGTTATAGCTTTGCTTAAATCAGCTGATTAACTGGAAAAGCAAAATGGCATTTGGGCATTTCAGTAATAAGTGCAGACATTTTGAATTGACATATTCAATCCAATAAAATAAAAATAAAGAACAATGGTTTTTAAAATAACTTCACTGGCCAGGCACAGTGGCTCACATCTATAATCCCAGCACTTTGGGAGGCAGAGGTGGGCAGATCACCTGATGTCAGGAGTTGAAGACCAGCCTAGCCAACATGGTGAAACCCCATCTCTACTAAATATACAAAAATTAGCCGGGCATGGTGGCGTGCACCTGTAATCCCAGCTACTCGAGAGGCTGAGGCAGGAGAATCACTTGAACCCGGGAGGTGGAGGTTGCAGTGAATGGAGAGTGTACCACTGCACTCCTGCCTGGGTCACAGAGTGAAACTCAATCTCTAAATAAATAAATAAATAAATAAATAAATAAATAAAAAACTTCAGCCTTCAACTCATAGTTTTCATTGGGTGACAACAAATGGATTGACATGCAAACAGAGTACTTAAGTAAAAGTCATTATCAACTCATTAAATGGCCTGAGTTTATATTACAGGTTTTCAGAGGTTTGGCCTTAAAACCTATATGGGTATATTTACAGGTAATACTATGAGCAAAGAATAACAACTCAAAAAGTAAAAATCCAGTCCCTCAGGGAGCTATCTAATAATGCGTTTGGAGCCATTCTAGCAGGAAGGAGAGAAATGAATTATTAGATAGCTGGCCGGGGTAGGCCTCATTAAGAATCTGACATTTGAGAAAAGACCAGGAAGTGAGGAATTTGTCCATATGGACATCTAGGGGAAGAGCAAAGTTTCGAAGGCAGGAATATTCTTACGGTGTAGCAGGAACAGAAAGGGGGCAAGGATGGCTAGGGTGAAAAGGAGGGAAATACAAATTGGAACTATGATAGCATCTGGGATTCTATTTGAAAGTCTCTGGAGAAAATGAATCCTGAGTTTCTGCTGCCCATGAGGCAAATTCCAACTTTCCTGAACAAAAAGGAGGCCAAGGAACTGAGGATTTTTACTGAGTTTTCCAGGCTGGGCTATAGCCAATATATAACTCAGGAATTCTCTCAAGAGTACATTTTGTGAAGATGAGGGTCTGGCTGACAGCCAAAGAATGATATTTAAAATCTGGATACATAAAACTTTCAGCAAGTCAAATGGGCAAAATAATAAATGATTAATGACTTCCCCTCATGAGTAGAATATGGAATTCAGGGTCTGAAAGTATTCATTTTCAAGGTTTTTCTTAGCACCATGGCAGACACTTTATTATTCCGTGATGCATTGCTTTTGTTACTACATGGTGAAGAGAGATATTTCACATTACAATGCATGAGAAAGGAAGACAAAACTCTGTTGGTTGAACTTTCTATGGATAGATCATGTTAGGTTGGATGGTGCTACTATCAGCCACAGTGCAGTCTTTTGGTCTTTCTCTTTCTTCTTTTCATGCCCCCCCCCACCCACCTGTGATGGGCAAGGCTCTGCTGAGAGTGGGCACAGTCACAGGGATTGGGCATTACCCATAGGGACCCCCAATTAGTAAGGGAAGGGGCTGCCCAAATGATGATCAGTCCCTCCTAAGAGGCTGTCTGGATTCTTGTCACATTTAAGACCTTCTGCTCAAGCGTGAGAACTCCACTGAGGTCAGGCTGATGCTGATCTCAGTTCTCTAGAGCACAGAGGGAGCCCCCACCAACCTCTGGGCCTCTGAGAAGACCCTTAGGACTCCGAGGAGAGATGGGAGCCAGGCAGGAAAGGTGACTTGGTGAAAAATTACATGATGTTGGCAGCAAGTTACATATGAAGAAGCAGAGGGAAAGACACACCTTTCTCCTCTGAGAAAAGTGCAAATGTAACAGGAAGAGCCACTAACTGGCCTAAGCAAAGCTGCTGTGATGTAGGAGAAAGAGGAGAGGCTAACTAAAATGTTTCGCTGCTGAGTGACTCATAGCCTCCATGCCTCAGTTTCCTCCTAAGTAGAGACAAATTTTACTCATGCCACAGGGTAGTGGTGGGAATGCAATGAAAATGATACATTGACTATAAGCACTAAATAGAAATAAGATAGTGTTATAATAAATTCCTTACATTTCTCCTGGGCTAGGAGCTCCCTACCACAAACTGCGTGGCTTTAAACAATAGAAATGTATTACCTCACAATTCTGGAGGTTGGAGGTCTGAAATCAAAGTGCCAGCAGGACTGGTTCCTTCTGAGGGCTCCAAGGGGAACCTGTTCCTTGTCTCCTGCCTAGCTTTTGGTGACTTTTGGGAGTCCCTGGCACTCCTTGGCTTGTAGATGTGTCAGTCCAATCTCTGCCTCCATCTTTACATGGTATCTCCCTGTGTTTCTGTCTTCCTACAGCCACCTTCACATACATACATACATACATACATACATACATACACACACACACACACATACATACATACAGGCATCTTCACATCGACACCAGCCATGCTGGATTAGGGGCCCACTCTACTCCAGTAGGACCTCACCTTAACTAATTATATCTGCAAGACCCAATTTCCAAATAAGGTCACATACTGAGGTATTAAGCTTTAAGACTTCACTGTTTCTTTTGGGGGGACACAATTCAACCCATAACAATATTTAATAATTATAAATTATTGTAAGAACACATATATACAACATTGTACAAGACATATTTACAAGACATTGCAGAGTATTTCAGGTACACATCCTTTAACTTGATCTCGTCAGCCAGGTGGGAGGGTCAGGAGTCCCTCTCTCCACAGAACAGAGAGGGAGCCCTCTTCCGGGCAACCTCAGAGAGGTTGAAGTTAGCTTGTGACAGAGATAGAACTTGAACCCAAGTCTTCTGACTCCAAGTACAGCGTTCTTTCCCCTGGAGACTCACATTAAACACTCCCCACCCCCACCCCCAAAGACCAAAGTAATATGGGAAGGTATCTCAAGAGGGCCACAAATGCTACAGGAACTCCCAACATCATCAAAACAATTTGCTACTGCAGTTTGCATATGCTTCACCTGTAAGTATGACCCAGACATCCACCCTGCCCTCACTGATACAGGGACTCTGTTTGGAACCTTTGTCAACCTTGATGCCTCCACATGAAGGAAAACCAATCGTACCAGGCACATCACTCATTTTGCAATCTTACTAAAAATTTTGCTGAACATGAGGAGTCTGCCTTATAGAGCGCATCACTTTTCACTGGAAAAGAATCACAACCAGTTCTTTCTCCAGTCTCTTCTGGACCGTGCCACTATATGGAGTTCTTTTTGGGCCCTTCCTGATGCTCTGTGCTGGCCCAGCCCTGTTGGCCTGGTGTACTTCCTTCTGCACTGGGCCCACCAGAACTCAAATTGCCTGCCTCACCCCCCAGAGCATTCAGCCCTACCTAAAACTCAGCAGTGGAAGTCTCTCCAGCTACAAACATCCACTTGCCAGGGTGGTTATAAACAAGCAACACAGAAACTATAGAAAATGTTTTTTCTATTTCATCACTCCCCACACACACTCATAGATTATTTTTGTGAGGCATCAAAATATTCTCTGAGATTTCACTTCAGGTTTTTTTTTTGTAGGACTCTCTGCACTCAGACCGTAACTAGTCATATATTAGATCTCATAAAAATGTAGAAATCTTTCTTCGGTATGCCTTTTTGTGTTCTAGAAAAAGGTTTAAATTTTCAAGTTTGATTCTCTGAGTATTACAGGTTGCCAAAATGGTTACCAGAATCTCCCCAGTAAATTTAGGGCTCTATTCACAAGAACAGAACAGGCAGGGAAGTGAGAGGCTCCATGTACCGGCTGATCTGCCAGCTACAGCACAGCTGGTGTAAGTCACACCGAATTACAGAAAAATAGAACTCAGAGTTTGTGGAAAATCTGTTCAGATTCAGTTGTCAGCTACATAATCAATGATCTATGTGAAGCCCAAATATCTCTCTGAAAAGGCCCCCTAGGAATTTTTCCTCCTGTGGTTGGTGACTCCATCTGCACTAGTCTGGAATATCCAGTTATTTCTTTCCTTTCATAGTTAAATTTAGATCTAGGTCCCACTGACATACATAACATACTAAGAAAGCAGTGAGGTTCTTAAATTTACATCTTACTACTAGGGAAAGCCCTCAGTTTTTATCCCTTAGGAATACCTAATGATTTGAATAATGGCCTCGTCAGGAATCTCTCTTAGAAAATTGAGACATGCTCATGTGTTTGTTCTTCCATGGTTGATTTAGAAAGGTCAATTGGAAAACAATATTCTCTGTCCTTGTGGCAATGCAAATAGGGAAAAAATATAAGCTGTCTGTTGATCTTCAGGAACCATGTAAATAAAACCAAACAGAGCCATCATTTGGTGCTTCATTAAACCTTAAGAATTAGCAATAATAATAAGACTACAGTTAATAGTAAATCCCAGGCCTGAAAAGGAATTTCAAAAAGGAAAGCTCTCCACTTAAACATAAAATAAATTTTAAAAATAATCTTTAAAAATTTAGGAGAAGAAATAACTACAGTCCAGCATTTGCATCCCACTTAATGTCTCCATGGTTGCAGGCAAATAGCTTTGCATAGCAGTAGGTGATACCCTCCTAAAAGTCTTCCTTCGATGGGCCAAATAGCCACAGCATTGAAATCAGCCCTGACAGACAAGACCACAGACCTGCTGGCTTGGGTCTGCCCTCGCATTGCTCTCTCTGGATATAATCTTGACATTAGCCAATAGCACCTCACCCGCAAGAGTGAGGCCCTGGGACCCTCTTAACCTCAGACATACAGGTGTGTGGCATTGGTTTCACCACCCTCTCTACTGCATGCATCTCACTTATTGTCTCAGAACTTACAACCACACAGCAAAATAGGCCTTGTTGGCCCTGTTTACAGATGAAGCAATTAGAACACTCGGTTGGTAAGTGGTGGAGCCTGTGTTCTACCCTCAGTCTACCTTGCTTTCCAACCTGCCAAGCTGCTTCTGGATGTCTACAGAACTTGAGAGCTCATATTCCATAGTTCACTACTTTAGCACTTCATTATATATCCTGCCTTATATTATTCGCTGATTCACATGACCAGTCTTGAACAAATCAGTGGTGTTTAGTCTTTAGGATACATTAGAATCACCTATGCGCTTGCTTAAAATGCATATTCTTACTCTCCCCGCCTACCCTAAAATTTTGATTCAGTAGGTTTGTGTTGGAGTGGAGTAATCTGTATTTTAACAGCTTCCCTCCCTCACCCTCCCCTGTGATACCAATTCAAGTATAAGAAATACTGAATTAACTTAAGTTCCTTGAGGAACAGAGCCATTATATGTAAATATGTAGTATTACAGGTATGGACTAGAGTAAATGTGTGTATGGACTAGAGTAAATATTGTATATGAACTAGAGTAAATATTTAGTAAGTACTTAATGTATCTTTATTTGAAATGACATTTTTATTGGTAAGTGACTAGATACAGACACAATGCTTTCAGCTGCACATAATAGAAGCACTAACCAAAAATGGTTTAAATGTAGAAATACTGATTAGCTCATATAACAAAAAAAATCCAGAGTTTGGTAAATTTAGTAGCTTCAGAACATCATTAAGCAGCCAGGTGGTTTTTTTTATTCTTTCTCTCTGCCATTTCCTTTTTCCTCATGATCACAAGATGCCTTTGGTAGTTCCAAGCATCATGCACAGACAGGACAACATTCAGCGAAGAAGAGGGAAGTTTCTTCTGTGTATCCCTTCTTGAAGGCAAAGACACTTTATCCAGAAGCCCCATAGCAGGTTTCTCTTTGCATCTCATGGGCCAGAATTGCTTCACATGCTCTTACCATAACCAATTGCATCTCAACCCAGAAGAATGGAATCTTTATGATTAGTTTGCCCCTCAGAAGGACATGGGGGACAGGAAGGATGAATCAAGTCAGGCAGAAGTTGGGGGTGGCTGTTGGGAGGGTAACCAATGGTATCTGCCATACTGAGAACATCTAGGAGAAAACAATTTCTAAATTTGGGGGGAAATGAAGCATAATTTATAAGTGTCTGTACAAGACTGAAAACCGGGAGACCAAATACCTTTGCTGGCAAATCTGGGATATAGATTGTCTAGAGGCCACAAAGCAGCACTGGCTCAAAGAAAATAATGAGCAAATCTGCAGTCCACCACTAGGCTATGTGTCACCTTCAGCAGAGCCTGGCATCTTCTTCCCTTCTGCCTCTGACTCATACATCCAATCCAGGGTAGCACTGACAGCATGGTGGGGGTTTTAGGGGAATGGATTTTATATATGGTAGGTACCATTTGGTGATTTTCCAAAAGAACATTTTTGAACCAAATGAGTGGTAAATGCAATCTGACTCACAAAACCCCTTGGCAAAGTTTTCTTTGCACCTCAGATTTCCAGGTGATAGAAAAGAAGAATCTCTCTGAGTGTGCGAGTGTGTGTGCACATGTTACAAAAACTACCATGTTAATGAAATATTCAATTTGAAAAAAAAAAAAGAAAAGAAGAATCTCACCCAGGCTGAGACTATTTTATATTGCTCAAGAGAGTAAACTATGTCTTGAGGCTCCAACAAGCTGTGACTTTATGGAGCCACTTTTTTTTGGTCCAGTTTTCCAACAACTGAGCCTTAAGGGAACAGTCCAGGTAGAGAAATCAGTCTGTCAATCAACAAATATTTATTGACTGCCTACTATGTGCCACACATTCTTCTCAATGTTGGGGGACTGTGCAGAACATGCTAGAAAAGTGCCTCACATAGGGAGCTCTCATTCTAGTGATGGAGGATAGACAATAAACAGAAACAAGTAAATAAGATAATTTTAGATAATGACAAATGCTTTCTAGAAGATAAAATGGGGTATTATGAGAGAAGGCCTATGTGGTTGAATGAGATAAATGGAGGGAAGAATGGGAGGAAATGAGGTTAGAAAGGAGAGATAAGATTTTATTCTGAGAGAATGGATAAGCCATAGGAAGGTTTTAAGTAGTCAAGGGCTACCATTTACACTTTAGAAAGACCACTCTAGCTGCTGTATGGAGGATGTGCTATTTGTTAGGAGGAAAAGTGGAAAAGATAATGGTGGCCAGGATCAAGAAAGGAAGAAAGAACTAAAATAACCGTGGGTTTGGAGCCTAAGAATACTGCTGGGTGTTATTTCTGCAGCTACCCTATTAGGTCACATGACTAGCATTAATGTCCCCCTGCTTATTGTTGGAATGATGAGAAAATGTGGGAGCTAATGTTAACATTTGATTTTGGAATCTGTGAGTTTCAAATCGTGACCCTGAATCTCCAAGTTGTGTGACCATTCCTTGTTCTGTCTGGTAAATTTCCTCAGTCTGGTCTTCTAAATCACTAATTCATTCTTTAGCTATTTTTTCTGTTATATTTATCCTACCTTTTATTTTTTATTTCAATTATATTTTCCATACCTAATGGTTCTACTTACTTTTTACGTTTTCTAGTTTTTCTTATTTTACTAATATCTTCTGTTGTCTTCTCTCTTAATATGTTTAATAGCCTTTTAGAAATTTATTGTGTACATTTTAATATTTCTCTTCTGTGGGAATCTGTAATCTACTAGGTTGTTTATTTGTAGGTTAATTACTTTTAAAAAGGCTGTGCTCCTCAAAAGTCCTGTTAATCTGGCCTTTGAACTCATTTCCCCTGGGCATTTCAGCCAGATCCTGGTCTCCAATGGAGCCTTGTCAGCTCCAGTGAGTCCAGGGGTGGGGTGTGGATGAGCCCCAGGCACCAGAAAACCACTCCCTATTCCACAAAATAACTTCTCCTGTCAGGTCTTCACCTTTTGCTCCCCAGGAAGAAGCAGGTTTAGGAGAACACTTGCTTTCCCACCCTGTGGACATTTAGAAGTGAAACAAGGTGGCAGCAACTCCCCAAAGTCAATTGTTCCCCAAGTTTCTTGTTATTGTTACTGCTCCAATTCCTTACCAACACAGTCCCTCTGCCCTGCCTAATCTTTCTTTAGAGGACACCTAGAATAGTTTGACATTTCACGGAGTCAGAACAACTGGTCCCAAGGAAATAGAGAAGAAGAGCAGACTTATGTTGTTCCCTTTCCCTATTTTATCTTCCCACAGCCCTCCCAAGCTATCTCTTGTCCCAGGCCAACGCAGCCATCTGATTCAGGTTGGGTTGCCCAGGGAACAGACTCTGAGATGGAGATTGGCGAATAGAAGGCTTATTACAGAGCACACTGGGATCAACACCTGTGGAAGGGAAGGGAAATGAATGGAACTGAACAGAAGGAATAGTTGAACTATATGAAGTGAGTTGAGCCAACTAACTTCAATTAGTTATATATGGATTTTATATATATTAGGTACCATGGCTCCAACAGTTGAGCCAAAGAAGACTTCAACCAACTTCACAGGAAGCTCTGGAGCTGGGACAGCCCTTCAAAGTTGTCCAGAGTTAGACCAAGCATGCCAGGCCTTTATACCCACACACTGTCCAATCACTGAATAAAGCTGCCCCAGAAAGTGGGCATGACCTTGACAAGGCAGTTCTCAGAGAAAGCTAACAGCTGAAGTCTGCCAGCTGGCAGCACTCCCAACAGTTGGGGGGTATAAGTCCTTCCTTCCTGAACGGGGAGCTGGGTGGCACATCACGGCATCCACAGCACCACCCACACACGCACCAGTTTAAAATAGCCCCCACCACCCCAGGGGTTTTTCACTTTCTCCAAGTCCTTCAGGATTTTGTAAGGGAGACAGGATGGGAAGCCACATTTATTCAACATTTTTGTCAAAACCATAGTCAGCCCGGGATTTTTTTTAACCTCTGAATAACTGTCTAACTCATTTCCTTTCTTTCTGCACTTTGTCTCACATGAGCTGTCATATCCCTCTGGGGCCGATTTACTTTAGCTCCCATGTTCTCACTAACTCTCAATTCTGTATTGCTTGCTGAAAGCTTTATTTTCCCAGGAGGCTGAAGCTGAATGAGTCCTCTGAAGACCCAGCCAGAGCCAAGTAGAGGTGTGCTGGCTCTGCAGAGACAACAGGACCCCTGGGCATGGGGGATGGCAATATTTTCCATGGGACCAAAGTCTGCTCTGTGAGTCCCACAGAATCCCCCATCATTTCTCAGGTCCTAGGCCCCCACCCCACCAGACAGTTGAAGTATGTGGGATGGGGTAGGAGCCAAGGTGAGCAGTGGTGGTGCAACTCTTCCTTTTGAAAGCTACCTGAGTGATTCCAAAAATGCCTGTTCTCTTTTACACACACACACACACACACACACACACACACGCACATCTGCCAGCTCAGGCAATCTCATTTTCTTCACCTAAGTCTTCAACCACCATTGAAAGCTACCTGAGTGATTCCAAAAATGCCTGTTCTCTTTTACACACACACACACACACGCACACACACACGCGTGCGCGCACACAAACACACACGCACACCTGCCAGCTCAGGCAATCTCATTTTCTTCACCTAAGTCTTCAACCACCATTTACTTCTCTGATAACATCCAAATCTCTGTCTTCAGACACATTTCAGACTGTTCAAGGGGCATCTCTAGAGAGATGCCATATACTAAATCCCAAATTTGTTTTCTTCCCCCAAAACCTAACTGTTTTTTGTCTGAATTTTCAGTGTTGATGAAAAGTGGCATCATACATTAAGCTCAAATCCAAAACATCAGAATCTCTCCCTCCTTCAGGCTCATTTCCAATCTATCTCAAAGTTCTACAACTTCTAGGTTTATAATATCTGCAACATGTATTCTCCTTCTTTATGTCCAAGATCACCATCTGAGTCTCAGACCTTCCTCATTTTTTCATGTAGATTACTGTCCATGTTAGTTATCCATTGCTGTGTAGCAAAGTATCTCAAAACTCAGCGGCATAAAACAGCGAATATTTATCTCACAGTTTCTCAGGATCAGGAATTCTAGGATAGTTCACTCATATAGCTCTTGGTCGACACCCCAGACTCTTGCTGGCTGTTGTCAGGAGTTTTCAGTTCCTCACCATGTGGACCTCTCCACAGGGCTATTCAATATGGCAGTTGGCTTCCCCCAAAATGAGAGAGAGAGAGAGAGAGAGAGAGAGAGAGAGAGAGGAGGGAAGGAGGGAGGAAGAGAGAGAAAGAGAAGAATCTGATTATCATAGGGTGAGGAGCAAACCACACATATTGAAAGGCACAACAAAACTAGCTTGCTTCTTCAAGAAACTGATCAGTGAAGGGAAGGAGTAATATATTAAGGCCAAGAGAGGGTATCAGGATTTTTAAGTTTCTTTGCCTGTACATGAAATAGCCCTGGCCTTTGTCTTCTCCCATTTCTAATTTACTTTGTTTACTTTTCGTTGAACTTCTGACTCTTTTGCTCATCTTTGCCTTTAATCTGTGATTTCTTTCATCTGTTAGTAGGCAGCCCTCTCCTCAACATAGAATTATCAGGTATTACATTTGTATGGACCCGGAAATCATCCAACTTGGTTTGTTAGAATAGTGGGTAAATTGAGCAGGAAGCACATTCCAGGGATGATTTGGAGGCAGAGTTTGGAGGGGACCTCTTCTCTGCATGTAATGTAGTATGAACTTCAGACTGCTTAGGCTTGAATACTGGTCCACTGTTGTTAGCTGGGTAAACTCGGACAAAAGTTATTCAATCTTTCTAAGCCTCAGTTTTATTATCGTTAAAAACAGGGTAATATTAATAGACCCTCCATGGTGTTATCATGAAGATTCAATAGATGACTCATTTAAAGTGCTAGCCACAAGGTCTGGCTTGTATTAAATGCTCAAAGATACTAGCTATAACTATTTATAAAGTGCAGGAGTAGTGTATGGACACGGTGGTAATGTTTTTGACTGCTCAGTGACGTTTTCTTCCCTCTTTCTGATTCTCAGGTTCTAGAATTATGTTATCCCAAACAGTAGCCACTGGCCACATGTGCCTGTTGAGCACTTGAAATGTGGCTAGTCCAAATTGAGAAGTTGTGCTATAAGTGTATAATACACACTGGACTTCAAAGACTTATCTTTAAAAAGAATGTAAAATATTCCATTAAAAAGTTCACATTGATTACATGTTACAATGACATTTTAGATATAACGGTTTAAATAAATTATATTGTTAAAATTAACATTATCAGTTTTTGTTTTGTTTTATTTTGTTTTCTGAGATGGAGTCTCGCTCTGTCGCCCAGGCTGGAGTGTGGTACCTCAATCTCGGCTCACTGCAACCTCCACCTTGCGGGTTCAAGTGATTCTTGTGCCTCTGCCTCCCGAGCGTCTGGGACTACAAGCGTGTGCCACCACATCCGGCTAACTTTTCTATTTTTAGTAGAGATGGGGTTTCACCATGTTGGCCAGGCTGGTTTCAAATTCCTGACCTCAAGTGATCTGCCCACCTCAGCCTCCCAAACTGCTGGGATTACAGGTGTGAGCCACCACGCCTGGCCTGTCATCAGTTTTTAAAGAATTTTTCTTAATGTGGCTATTAGAAAGTTTAAAATTGTCTATAAGGTTTACATTATATTTCTTTTGAGCAGTTTTATAAAGATGAAATTACAGAGCTACTAAATTAAAAAGAAGTAATATATTTCTATATTTTATTTACCTGCATAGCATGAGCCCCTCTTCTTCCTTTATAAGCCAACCAGATTCTGCTGACCTTCACTGGGCAGTTGAAGCCTCGCCATCCACACACACTGATCCTTGTGAGCAACCATCCATCACTAGGGTAATAAAATTATATCTGTGGCCAAACTTTAGCCAGCTTCTGGCATTGCCCAAAAAAACTTAGCTACAGATTAATCCTCAGAAAGCAAACAACCAACAGGGAAGAAACAAACTTCTTATTTTTTAAATTCCTTTGGCAGAGATACTTGATATCAAATTGGAGGTAAAAAGGAGGAAAATTGCATATGGCAAATACCACCAGTAGTCAATCCAGTAGACGTTTTCTCCTTCCTCTTTGCTAATAAAAGTCCCAATTTTGTTTAAGGCTACAAACAAAACAAAATAAGGTATAAGAGGTGGCTATATGACATAGCTTCAGCCAATGAAATATAGACAAAAGTGTCATAGTGAGTCTTTTAGAAAGGCTATCTCGATTTAAAAAAGGACGGGTGGGGACAAACTCAACAGATGCACACATTTTATTTTACTTTTTGCCTTCTGTCTTTTCTATCGGGAATGGGGACACAATAGTTCAAGGTGGAACAACAACCTTGAGACCTGAGGGTAAAGGTCACATACTATGAGTGGGCCAGGAAGCCGGAAGGAGCTGGGCACCTGATGACTTCCTCAGTCAGCTGCTCTACCTCTCCACTTCTTGTTACTTGAGCCAAACAAACCCTACTTGCTTCAGTCACTCTCTCTGGATTTCTGATAAACACAGCTAAACACAACCCCAGCTGAAACCCGCAGTCCAGAAAATGCTAATGTTCACAATCTGGCCCTAAAATCTGCTGTCCCGAGGACATTTTCACTTCCAAGAAAATCTGTCACTATTGGCCTAAAGCAAATAGTTATTTTGGCTCATGCAATGGGAACAAGCATGAATTATTTGGCCTTGGCTTTTTATGATCCAGCATATATAATAGTCATTTTTAAAAGATATATACTATATATCTATACATCTACATAAGTATATAGGTACAAATATATATTTCCAAGAGGGCAGGGGCTTTATCTGTCGTATTCATCATTTTATTTCCAGGCCCTAATAAAGGCCAAATCTCCTTTTCCTTAAGGCTGACTTCTCTTTCCAGTGATCTTCACAACATAATTTGCTACCATTCAGAGGCGGCAACATGGAAAACATCCTAGGCTAAGTTACAGGTGACCTAGAGCTAATCCTGGCTCTACCAAATAAATAGTTCTGAGACATTGAAACATTTCTTCAAATAAAAATTCGTGCAGAAATTCAGTGTACTAAGCAGGTAAGATTAAAGAGAGAAAACCCGCAGCCCCTTCTACTGGGTCACAGGATAGTAAGAAATCCCCAAGAAATTTAATAGCATTAAAGACAAATTTAAAGTAAACCTCTCACTCAGTTATATAGATTTGAAGGAATGTTGTCATGTTCATGTATAAAAAATGTGACTTGGTATAGGGTCAGAAATCAGTACACATAAGGGCTTTGGAAATAACCTGTATTTGGGGACTATATAAGCAAGTGTTTTAACACATGGGCTTTGGATGACCTAGGACCAGTTAACTATTCCATTAACGGGTTTGATAATCCCAAAAAAACACAATCCTGAATGTCATAATACCAAATGTGGAAATCCCAAAAAGATCTAAATCCCCAAAATATAATTCTGGAAAAAATAATTTAAAAGACATTTCTTCACATTTATAAAAGGAGATTTATTTTAGAAACATATAAAAACATGACAGAGCATTTCACAGGCCACTTTACATAATAAAATAGGCAATAGTAACATTTGTATTTTTACAAGCATAAACATACAGGTATACTAACAACAGTCATATGGGTATAATGTTATAAGTGGATGAACCATATTCATAAAGAAATAAGTCAAGATTCAAAATGTATAAATGCATAACACTATGGTAATTTTATGCAACCAGCTTTATAACTGTAGTCATCTGAAACACCATGACGATAACCTAAGTCTTTTGATAAGATTGATCCAAAACTTCAATGAGTCACTACGGCATATGCAATTGCACAAAGAGCTGAGATCTTAAGAAATTTTATCTTTCACAAATGCAGTTGTACAAAAAAGGACATCTCTTCATTTATTGGGGAAGTTTCAACATTTTTACATACACAATGCTTACACACAAAGTCAATGTTGTGATAATGCACTTTTGTGGAGTCAAATTGACAAAATATACATAAAACAAATTAGAACTTTCTGAAAGTCTTTATACAATTTATACTCCAGTACTGCAAATGATGTGAAGATGAAATACACAGCATAGCAAATTGTGAAAAGTAATAATAACAATGCTGACAATTTAAGATAGTGGGAAAGAACTAGAAAGAAAATTCAACGTTTGAAAAAGTATATTACAGGGATACATTATGGGCAATTGCCTGGAGGTAGTCCATTAGAGCTGGCCAACATTCACAGTCATATTTTGAAGTCTTGCATGGCAATGAATTGCTGCTTTTTTTTTTAAGACATGACTCTCGTCAGAGAATATGTTCACATTTCATTCCTTTTCCACATAGCACTGCTCTTTTTGAAATTCTTCTATGATTCGACATACACCAACATGAGCAATCCCTATTAAATATTTCCATCTTTGCATAATTTTTCTATGCTGTTTTCGGTACACAGAAATTCATTCCACATGCACTCATATGCAGAAGCAATACTGATAATCAAATAGTCACACTATTGTGTGTCTTCTTATCTTACTATGTGCATAATTATATTTGAACCAGTTGGTAACTTTGCTGGCTTCTTCAGGCAAATGTGGCTTTAATTCATTAAAATTTCCTAAAATGTCATTAGCTGGGAGGAATGCCACTGCAAACAAATGAAATATTTTTAAACCATATGGGGTGGCCAATTCACTTGTCTGAATTTTTCACCATATGCATTGGGCTGAATGACAAAAACAAATTTTATTGATGACACCTTGAGATTCACTTTTAGAAGCCTTGAAGGGACTTAATTCCAAATCTGTCATGGTTTGGGGATTCTACTAAAATCCATTTTCTTCTGCAAAGTCCACCAAATCTTCAAATAAATGTTTATAAAGTGCTTTACTTTTTCCAGTCATTAATATATAAAGAAGCAGGTAAGTTCAAGAATGTTTGGATCCAACTGGGGCATGATGGCATACAGTTGATAAGAAAGATGGGGACGATTTTCAAAGTGTCATTCCTCAGCCAAAGTGAAGGATGCACTAGGTTGTCTATGTTAGATTTAGTGGCAAATATAGGAAGTCTATCTTCTTTGACAGTCAAATCCCAAACTAAGAATATTTCATCACTCAATGAGTTTCAGAACACTGGAGGAACCTCTATATCGGCAAGCATCTTTGGTTCAGAATGTTGCTCAGCTTGTGGAATTCTTTTTATTCTCTGATGAAGAGTGTTTTTTGAAGGCAAGCATGGCACTATGTGTGAAGGGGCAGAAGTCATACATGATTGAATCATTTGACAGGGGACATTTGTTATATTTTTCACCTGTGTTTTTACTTTTTCTATGATTTTCGAAACACTCAAAACATTGAGAATAGATCTTTCTCACGTTGTGCACTCAGACTCACACACTAATCTCCTCTGGAAACACCCTCACAAGATACACTGCTACACCAGGTTCTAGGTATCCCTTAATCCAGTCAAGGGATTTTAAACTTTAGGAATTTCAATGTTTGAGATTATGTCTTTTGGGATTATGATTGGTACCATTCATGAACTAATTTCCTTAACTATGAAATTAGAATAATTCTGTTAGACAATATGAAAATGTACAATGTGAATCTCTAAGGGAGAGACATCATATGCAAGGTTTTCTAAGTGTATTTGATCATAGAATTCTTTTGTGGTGGCCTATCCTCCTGACTCCTATTCCAGGACTCACACCTTGGAAAACTCTCTAACACAGTCACTTTTGCATCTTTATAGTTATAAAAACTTAATTTTTTCTACGTTAAAGTAGAATTTTCATAAGGGGTATATAAAGGCGTCAGTCTTGGAAGAAGGCTTCTAACATCTTCTTTCATGAATGCCTCTACCCACTCCTAACTACCACCAATTGGCTTGAAGCATGAAAAGTGCATCTGCTTCTTAGATGAGACCTTCACCAAATTCTAACCATGGCAAGTGCTTAAAATCCTATCAAACTTCTCACAGGGCAAAAATAAAGGATCAGAAGTGAGGATTCTAGTTCTGGTTCCTGGCTCCTCCAGCTCATTCTTGTAATGCCCTGGTGTTTCCTTTTCCTTTTTCTGATCAGGAGTCATGCTTTTCTCCCCATCATTCCAAACACCCAGAGAGGTCAGCTAGAAGACAGACTGAACAACCAGGCGCGTACCATAGCTTTCCTTCTTGAACAAGCCTTCCGCATCAAGGAGGACATCTCTGCTTGCCTGCAGGGGACCCATGGCTTTCGAAAAGAGGAATCGCTCGCCAGGAAGTTACTGGAAAGCCACATCCAGACCATCACCAGCATCGTCAAAAAACTCAGCCAAAATATTGAGGTAGTTCTCTTTTTGTTTTATTTTGTTTTTGTTTTGTATTTTGGCAGCATTGCTTGATAAAGATTATCAACCATCAGTGTCATTTTTCAAGTGCAGAAATATATCACTATTGCTTAAGTTTAGATGATTACATTTTAGTGGTCTAAGAGGGAAACAGTTCAATTTTTCAGCTGTTCATTTATGCCAAAAAGTAGAAGGAACTTCTATTCAAAAAATATTTACTGTATATTTATTTTGTGACAACAAAGACATTATGTCAGACATTGTGCTAAGATGCTTATGTTAGCCTAAATCTCCAAGATTCTATTAATGCAATAACTTCAAATAGAGGTTTTCATAATGCACATCAGTAACGCTCCATTGTATAGCCATTGCAATCTGATGCCAGCAATTTCTCTAGCCCCGTCTTCTACCCTTCTTTCCTTCACTCTGGCCACACTGGCCTCCCAGCTGTTCCTAGGACATTCCAAACACATTCTGGCCTTGGGGTCTTTGCACTCATAATTCACTCTGGCTGGATCATCTTCCCCTAGATATTCCTATGCAACGTGCTTCATTCCTCCAGGTTTCTGTTCAAATATAGCCTCGTAACAGAGGATTTGCATGACATTTTATAAAATAGCACCTCTACCCACATGGTTTCAATCTCCCTTAAAGCCTACTTTATTTTTTTTGTCACATAGCACTCATTGCAAACTACCATGGTCTATATTTGATTCCTGTTTGTTTTCTCTTTCTAAGATATAATCTCTATAAAGTCAAAGAGTTTGTTTTCTTCATGCTAAATCCCATATCCCATACCAGACAACAGTGGTGTTGTAGTCAGCACTCTAAATATTCCTTAAATTGATGAATGAATAAATTAATTAATTTTAAGGCATTAGAGTAAAAATAGAGTTTCTCATCAAAAAAAGAAAATTCTTTGTCTAAATCAAGAGAAACATGCTTGTGTAAGAGGTCTTCGAGAGTTGCTAGGGTGCAGATGTACGTGATGAATCTGGGTTAACAATTTTCATGCAAGGGCTACAGATAGTGTACTTTAGGAAACTGGCCCAAAACTTGTGGAGTTATCATGAGAATTGACAACAATGCAGTCTCACGATACTTGTCCTTTTCTACTATCAAAGAGAATACTGGATTTTATTAAAATTATGGGATTGAACCAGCAATTACTCCTTTGTGAATTTGTTCTTAAGGGCAAGGATATTGATTAATTCATTTTCCATCTGCAGGGTTTAACAGACCCCATAATGTACCTGAGGCAGTGTGAAAAGTTAAAACTCTCAGTGAACTTTTAAAAAGCACTTTATTGGTATTTAGCACATTTTGAATTGACCTCAGTGCTTCAAAGGTCAATGCCACTCTCAAAGTGATTAAAGGTATTTCCATGCATAATGAAGTATCATGAAAGTGACAAGAGGCAAGCAGCCCTGTGCCTTTTGAAATGACTAGAAAATCAAGTAAGTACAGCATAGTGCTAAAATAAGATTCCAATTTAGGAGTCAAAACTTCTTGGTAATTGAAAAAGCCAACAACATTCTTAGAAACATTGAACTGTTTCTAAGAATATTCTATATTTTGATCTGGATTGTTATATGGTTGATTACATTACATTGAGTCAAGATCCGCCCAGATGTACACTTTGACTTGTGCGTTCAATACATATTATACCCCAGTAAAATACTATTAGCAATAAGGAGAAAGTCTTTCTTTCAAATCTCTAGAAATCTTGTAAACAGTTTATTTTTCTGTAATAATTGACTATCTTAGATTAGCTCTCTAAAAAAAGACAAATCCAAAACATTTTCCAAAAGACAAAGACAAAAATCTCAAAATACCTACAATCCTATTAAGGGTTTGGCATATATAGGAAAATGAAAAGGACTGGATTGAGTTTGTGGAAAATTGAACTAGAAAATATTTTAAAGGCTGTAGATAACATAGTTAAAACATTATGAAGAAGAAACTATTCAGCTACCTTTAGTAAATAACTATATGCACTTTATAGAGAAATGGATGCTATTCAAGTATTTTAAAAGAACCTAACCTCATTAACCAGGTCAGCCCATTTGCAAGTTGGCTATCAAGATCAATTCAAGTGTGAGCTAAAGCTTGACACAGGTCCATAAATGAAATGAAAAAAAAATTTTTTTAATCTACCACAATTGCATCAAAGTGCTTGTTTCTTTTTAAAAATCAAATGATTCCTTTTTTTAAGAAGGCAGTTGATTACAAGTTTTAGAATTAATTTATTTTTAACTCAAAGAAAATTTTATATATAGCATTGTTTTACTGTGGGTTTTCCCCTCAACTTACAAAAGCAATACTTGTTCATCATAATTATTTTGAAAGTTTAGGAAAAAAATGTTTAAACTTGGGGAAAAAATATCTCACAATTCAACCACCAAATGGTGATCTCTACAAATACCCAGATGAATCTCCCTTTAGTCCTTCCAAGTATTCCATTTAGGAGGCTGAGACTATGTTTGTAAGCATGATTTTTATTCTAACATTCATCCTAAACTCTATCATGTCTCATTAAAATCTCTTTGCATGGTGCATACACCATGATTTGCTTAATTATTGTCCTAATGTCGAAATATCACTTTGGGGGGCTGAGGCAGTAGGACCAATTGAGCCCAGGAGTTTGAGAACAGCCTGGGTAACATAGTGACACCCTGTCTCTACAAGAAAAAATAAATAATTAGCTGGGTAGGGTAGTGCACGCCTATAGACACAGCTCCTTGGGAGGCTGAGGTGGGAGGATTACCTGAGCCCAAGAGGTGAAGGCTGCAGTGAGCCATGATCATGCCACTGCACTCCAGCCTGGGCGACGGAGACCCTGTCTCAAAATAAAAATAATTTAAGAAAGAAATATCTTTGTGCATAAATATGTATCTGCGTTTGGATTATTTCCATAGTATCTATTCTTAGAAGTGGAATTACTAAGGTATGAATACTGTGAAAGCTCTTGATACATGTTGCCAAATTGTTTTCCGGAAAGTTTATACTAATTTACACTTCCATTAGCATTATTTGAGTGCTTTTTTTCCACTTTACCTATGCCAGAATTGAAATTTATCACTTTAATTTTTGCTAACTTCATGGAACAGAAATAAGATTTTTTTTCTTAGTGAAAGTGTTGAATCCACTTTTTTAAAGTGACTATTTAAAGTAACAATTTTGGCTGAGTGCCTGTGGCTCACAACTGTGATCCCAGTGGTTTAGGGGGCTGACTTGGGAGGATTGCTTGAGGCCAAGAGTTTGAGACAGTGAGACTCTGTCTCTACAACAACAACAACAAAATTAATAATAATAAAGTGACAGCTTCATTTCTTCTTCTAATGATTTATGTCTTTTGTTAATTTATCTTTTGAGTTTTAGTACTTTTAAATTTTGTTGATTTGACGAGCTCTTTTATTTTACATATTAGAAATAATAACTGGTAATATGGTAGTAAGTGTTTAACAATCAGCAATCAGTTCTTTTCTAGGGGAAAAGAGAGCCTGGTTTGTAGTATTTTCCTATTTCTATGGTGTAAATACTCCTATGATTTCAAACAACCAGCAAGATGACACTGTACACAAAGATGAGAAGAGATGTATACAATCCACTTTCACATACGGCTCCAGGCTGCTTGCAGTACATCACTGAAACCCTTGGCAATAGTATATGTTACAAATGTTTTTTCAGTTTGCTTTTTCTATCTTAATTGTATTTACAGTGTCTTTACAAGTTTTACACAAAGGTAAATATTCAAGTATTTTGCTTTGTAATTTCTCTCATTATTGCAGTCCTCCCACCTTCATCTGTGGTTTCACTTTCTGTGATTTCAAAAGTTTACAGAAATATTAAATGGAAGATCCCAGAACCAAGTAATTCATAAGTGTTCAATCGTGTGCTGTTCTGAGTAGCGGGATGAAATTTTGCACATCCTGTTTCATCCCACCCATGGTGTGAATCATCCCTTTGTCCAGCACATTCACACTGTCAATACTCTCTGCCCATTAGTCACTCAGTAGCCTGTTGGTTACCAGATCAACTGTTCAGATGAGGTATCACAGTGCTCATGTTCAGGTAACCCTTATTTTACTTAATAATTCCCCAAAGCACAAAAGTAGTGATGCTGGCAATTCCACTATGGCAAGGAGAAGCCGTAAAGAGCTTTCTTCAGGGAAAAGGTTGAAGTTCTTGACTTAATAAGGAAAAAAAAAATTGTATGCTGAGTTTGCTAAAATCTATGGTAAGAACAAATCTTCTATCCATGAAATTGTGACAAAGGAAAAATAAATTCATGCTAGTTTTGCTGTCGCACTTCAAGCTACAAGAGTTACAGCCACAGTGTGTACGATATTATAGTACATTGTTATAATAGTTCTATTTTTAGATATTGTTAATCTCTTACTGATAAATAACTTTATCATAGGTATGTATGTATAGGGAGAAACAATATATATAGGGTTCAGTACTATATGAGGTTTTGGGCATCCACTGGGGGTCTTAGAACGTATCCCCCTTGGATAAGAGGAGACTACTGTACTTCTAAGACTAGAAAGTTCCTCATTCAAAGACAAAATAATCTCCTCAATTATCTGTGACTTTTATGGCTTAATTTAAAAAATATTTTAGATCTATTTTTTTCTGAAATCTATAATGATATATGACATGAGGTAAGGATCTAAATTAATTATTTTCTGAGTAATTAGAGCCCCCAGCCCACTTGTGAAATTACTCCCCCATTGATTTATGAATTGCATATAGAGTATATTCCTTTCCTACACTTACCAAGGTCTTCATGACATTACAGGTAGCTATATACCTTTACTACACTGATTTACTTATCCTTATTTTAGAAAATATTTTAGCATATAGTAGAGTAAGTTTCCTTTCATCACTGTCTTTACCAAAACAGAAAACAAAATACCTGCATACATGCAAAAAGATAAAACCAAACTCTAGTTAGTGTTTTTGACACTTTTACATCTTCAATTAAGGCTTCATTTGCCCTTGGGTTGTCTCAATCCCAGTTAAAAAATGAGCAAGAGTCTGTCTGTGGTCTTTGAAATTCTTGTAATTTATTTGCTATAAAAATTCTTCCTTTCCTAGTAAAATTCATAACCATAGTTTAAACATAATTTAGGACTTTGTCAAATATAATACTTAAACTGGAATGTCTCCCCAAGTAACAGATTTGTGTTTTTCAAAGGCCTACACAGAACTCTCACTTTTTTTCTTAGTAAATACCAATTTCTTATATGTCTTCACTCTACATTGGAATTTATTTGAATGTCAAGTATAATACAATTTTTTTCTATGGACAAGCAGAATTTTTTTAAATTTTTTAAATCAATACTTATAAATGGGTACAAAAAGTTAAAAACCATGGTTCTTGGGACCACTAGCCTGGTGGTACAAGAAAGTCAGTTCTATTTCCAGAACACCAAAACACAATAAAGATGTGACTAACAACACTCATGGACAAAATCTGGACACAAATGAGCCAGAAATCTCTCATATTCTCTAAAAAATCTAGATAAACTCTTTTTCATTGTGTATGAATCAGGTTGATTCAGACTTGCTTGCGCTGTGTTAACTTCATTGTGGTTCTGGTTCAATCCATAAAAAATCTTGCCTGATGCAATATTGAAAAAAATCCTTTTCCAAACTTATGGCACCAATTGTGAAATACATTTTTGTGAAAAGCTTTTATGTCAGTGATGGCCAACGGCAACCCATGACCATATCAACACAATGCATGTTCTGTTTGGTCCATATATGGTTTACAAAAGATCTTGAATAATATGCCAATATTGTTAATTTGAGCAATTTCATATAAAATCTGGATTTCTAGCTTCCTTTAAAACACTATTGAGACATCTTCCCCACCTGGCAATAATCACCTAGAATCAAACCACTGCTGCTTCCCTCAGATAAATTAGCAGAGATCACTTCTCTCTGAGATAGGACTCTCTCACTCATGCACACCATCAGCCTAATTACAAAATGCATTCATTTAGGTAACCCCTGCTTTAAATGATGTTTCCTTATCATGTGTGATGGGAAATTAATGGGAAATTTGACTCAAAATTACAGATTTTAGAAGACCAAATAAGAGCTCGAGATCAGGCGGCCACAGGAACTAACTTTGCAGTACACGAGATAAACATCAAACACCTACAAGGAGTTGGAGATCTTCGAGGAAGAGTAGCCAGGTGAGAAGAAGCATGTTGACTAATGTTTAACAGTGAATTCTTGGCCAGTGAATTCGCATTCCTAAACAAGCTCCATGCTGTGGAAAAAAGATATTGTCTACACATTAAGCTAAACTAATGAGATGGCATTTGAGAAAGTGTACCATAGAACTTTCAATGCCTCACGCTAGCGGTGAGATTCAAAGTTTCTGTAAAGACCCCTTACACAGTTTGATTCCAATGGAAGCGACCAAAGTTCTGTCTTTGCAGCCTCAACCGTCCAAATGCCAACATCCATACATAGACGCACCTTCATAACCATGTACGAAATCCCCATATGTGTCAAATGCGAATGAGTAAAACATTTAAAATATACAAGAATTATAATAGTCTAATGGGATTTACTGCCAAATGGATAAAGTTTTGAATAACATCTTTTGTACAAGATTTCTAAATCAAAAGAATTGATGGTATGCAGTTCAGCAAATATGTGTAGGTATTGAGAATGGCAGGACCACTCTGGCAGACACATCAAAGATGACTTGTGAATGGCTGACTGTGGACACCTTTCCATCTCTACATCTTCTGCCAGTACCTCATTCCTCTCTCCTGAAATACTCCCATCTCCATCTGGTTAATCCTCTCGGAATTAGATAATTACTACCTAAGAATTAGATAATTACTACCTAAGACAAAGCTCTCTTAGGGTATTTACCCATTTAATTCAACAAAAATGTATTAAGCACTCATCTTATGCCAGGCCGTGTAATGTTAGAATTCAGCAACATGGTCTCCTTTCTATAGCTGTTTACAGTCTACCAGGAAAAACAAGCTGTATCAATAACCAATACAGTGAATGCTGTACTAAAAGTCTGGGATGCTATGGAAATGTCCAAATCAGACCCACACAGAAGAGAGGCTTCCCAGGGGAAGTGACACTTGAGCTGAGTTTTGAAGGATTTATAACAGTTAACTAGACAAGGAAAAGTGAGAAAGACAATTTACCTGGAAGAATAATATGTGCAAAAGAACTGAGGGAAGGATCACTGTGACATGTTCATGGGCCTACCTGGGAGAATGGCATTTTGGTTATGGTATTTTGGAGAAGGCATTTTGAGAAAGTTGGGACAGGAAGCCAGAGAAGCAGTCCAGACCTGGAGGATGAGGGGTCTTGTAGGCTAAGGTAAAGAGTTCGAACTTTATGTAGAAGGTTATAAATGACCATGGGGGGATTTTAAGTAAGGGGGTGGCATATCATATTTTGTGACATTCTAGTTGCAGTGAATTGGTAGAATACAAAAAAAGGTTGTGGAGATCAGAGGAAGGCTATTGTACCAATCCAGGTGAGAAGTGGCAGGGCCTAAACCAAGGCACTAGCCATGAAAGCCCAGAGTAGGGGACAGACAACACAGACATTAGAGAAATAGAATCTACAGGATTACTGCATGAATAAACATGGAGGATGAATTAAGCAGGGGGAGGTCAAGGATAGTGACCAAAGTTTCTGGGCTTGGAGACTGGTTGAATACTCATGTCATGCCACAGAGAAGAAAATATGAAACAAGGAGCAATTATAACAAGGAAGTGGAAAGAGAAACAGAGTAATAAAATGTTTGGCTTCCACCATGTTGTGTATGAGACGCCATCAGAATATTAGCTGGAATGGGCATGGAGCTCAAAAGGGGAGGAAGGGAGGAGGTGTCAGGGATGCCCAAGTTTCTGGTTGGCCCACAACATAAATGACTTTGTGGCTTTGGGAAAGACTTGAAAGACTTTGTAGTTCTGGAGTGTGACTTCATTTCTGTTAAAAATAAAAGATGCCGTCTTGGAAATAATACATATGGTTGAAAAACACTCATCCAAGGAAAAAATAACTGTCAGCCAGTCCAGAGAATAAACAGGTGAATTTATATTATATATTAATATATAAATAAATAATATATAGAAATATTTATTTCATTAATATTTTATCAATACCAAAGAAGTTTTATAACATTTGGGTAAGTTATGAAACAAGATAACAAAACAAATATCAGCAAACCCACAACCCTATTTAGATGTGCCAAGATTCTGCAAAGAAGATAAAACCAAACATGGTTTCTTTGTTTGTTTCTTTTTCGAGACAGAGTCTCGCTCTGTCACCCAAGCTGGAGTGCAGTGGCGCGATCTTGGCTCACTGCAGCCTCTGCCTCCCAGGTTCAAACAATTATCATGCCTCAGCCTCCTGAGTGCCTGGGATTACAGGTGCACGCCACCATGACTGGCTAATTTCAAACATGTTTTAAATGAAATATAATTTGGTTCAATTTGGTGGTATGCTGATGACACTCCTACCAACTATTTCTTTCTGCAAACCACTTACAAACCAATTATTTTATTTTTGTAAACCCTGTTTTATTTACAAGACAAAATAGCAAATGGATCTCAAAGAAACTAAGAGATCAATGAAATTACATCAAGATACGCAATTCTTTTTGCTCTGCTTGCGTTTTGCTTACCTTCCCCTTCAATCAAAAGCAGTGATTTTAGGACAAGGTCTTATTTTTCCTTGAAATGTCTCCCTTTTATGGAAAATTTCTGAAATCTATTTGGCAATCTGAGACAGAATTTGGCTAACGGCCATGAGACTTAAATTCACCCTCCCTCTCCTGTTTCTTTTCTGTGCCTTTGCCAGGCAAATGACTAATGTACAAGCTAAGGCAGATTGATTACTGTCTTTCCACATAGAGGGACCTCTATTCCAATGAGCATTTTGGCATAAGTAAAATTGATTGTTTTAACATAATTACTAGCAAACATTTTACTGCTCCATAAATCAGTCTCAATATTTAATAACTACAATGAGATTTGAATTTTACACTTTATTTCCCATGGCAATACATTGCAGTTTAAAAGTAAGTCCTCCCAATGAGATGAGGCTCCCAAAGTTGCCAGCCTGCTTTTGATACCCTGTCCTTTATTTAATAGACTAGGGGCTTGCGTGGGTCATCAGAGAGAGAGGTCACGTCCCCTTAGAGATTCAGGTGAAGTGCAAAAAAGGAAAAGGCGAGCATGGGAAGGGCACCCCTAGGGATGGATATGACTTACAATCCGTAGCCGCAGTCAGAGGCGAACTCTCTAGCCCCATTTGGCTCTTTAGGACTCCAGAACAAACCTGCATGTGGGTAAAAAAAAAAAAAAAAAAAAAGATAAATTTTGTTGATTTGTGATTAAAAGCAAAATCATGTTCTTTAAAGAAACATAATAATGTGGATATTATGACAGGCCTGGTCAGAGAGGGCAGAATAAAAACCTCTTATTCCACTCCTCTTACTTGAGACAACTCAATGCCAGTGAAAAATAAAAGAAGGAAAACAAAAAACTCCATCTTTAATATAATATGGAAGTTGCTGTAACCACTGACCACAAACAGAGCACACTTACCAAATATTGTGACATTTGGACTGATACAGTCCTTCTCAGATTTAAACATAATGATTTTCCACTAGTCAACAGTCATAATTTTGAGAGACATTGGCAAAATGGAATCAAGCAGCATTACTTAGAGGCTCGGGTGGGTCATCGGAGAAAGACAACATGTCCCCTTAGAGATTCAGGTCAGCAACACCAAACAGCCGGGAGGTATAGCCAAGGATGCAACCGTGTTCTTTATCATTTCTATCATCTAGGACCTCCCTCCTTGCCCGCTTATACCTGAGAGAAACTGGCTGAAGTGCGACAGGCTGAGGAAGGAGAGAGATTTGATACTGCAAGCCTGAATAGAGGATGCTATCTACCAGCCACCAAACACACTCACTGATCCTCTGCAGGTAGCAGAAACATTCAAAGACATAATAGTTATTGTTAGAATGCAGTCATGCATATGAATCACTTCCACTATCATCCCCAGATAGACAGAAGACAGACAGATAGATGATAGACAGACAGACAGATAATAGATACATAAAACATAAGCAAAAGACTAGTGAATACACTTCATGAAGGAACTGCCCAGAAAAGTATAGGAAGAGTTCAAGCCAAAAGTTCTCCCGGTTTCAACGAAATTAAGAACAAAAGACAAAGAATTTAAAAAAAAAAAAAAAAAGGATTACTTGTGAACAGTCACATGTAATTTGGCCCTTCCAAAAGCCCCATTGAATCTACAGTAAAAAGATTTTCTCTTTAAAATATAAACCCATAAGGACCAGGGATACCAGCATAGAAGTCTTGGAACCTAGAAAGCAGATGGAAACATGAAAACTGCCTTAGCAGAATGAAAGCCAATTTTCAAGTTGTAGGATAAGCTGAGAACAACCTAACTTTATGCAACAGAATTTTCAAAAGGCTTCAGGCCCTTGCCACTAGGGAGAGGAACTGAGAGAGGCAGTGAGAGGAAGGGTCAGAAACCACTGTAGTTTATTATTAGCTTATTAACTTTCAAATTACAGGCATCTTTTACTTTGATAAAATAAATAATAATTTTAAAAGTAAGGTATAAAAACATTTCCCTCCAAAAGAGACTATCAGATAACAAAAGGAGATAGATAGACTGGAATTGCTCGGGATAGATGAAAGAAAAAGTCAAGATACTATGAAGATTAATCTACTTTAGAAGCTCTTAAAATAGAACAAATGCAACCAAAAATAATGAGTTATAAAAAGTAAAAACATGAGTAAACCACACCAAATGAAAAGAGATAGTTACTTTTCAATATAAAAATGATTGTAGAAAAATTGTCGTATGACAGGCAAGGAAAACTCATCCAATATAGAACTAATAGAAGGCCCTGAAGAAGAAACAGAACGAATTCTTCAAAAAAAAAAAAATCATGCCTATAAGAGAAGAAAGTGTTCTTGAAATACAGATGTGAATCTATAGATTAAAAGGAAAAACTGTGACCATGGAAAAAATGATATAAGAACAATGAAACCAAGATATCCTGGTTGAAGTTGCTGAACAATAAGGATAAAGACTGCAACGAGCATCCAGGTAGACAAAGCAAGTCTCATAAAAAAGGAAAGAAATGTCATCACCTCAGACTTCTCCACCTCAACCAATGCTAGAAAAGAATGGATTGATGTTTATCATGTTCTGAAAGAAAGAAAAAAAATGTTATCTCAACTAAGTTACCTTTCAATCACAAGAGAAGTCAGGTATTCTCAAGCACTCAAGAACTTGAGAATTCTAGTACTCCTGAGCCCTGCTTTTAAAATCTGGATGACAAAATCTGGCCAACCATGGAATAAATCAAAATAAGGATCTTAGAAAAGAAATCATGGTTTGAAAGGATTATCAATGAACATCTAATCTACATATAAAGTGAACATTAAATAACCATAGACATTCTAGTGACAGAACACAGTGCAAATGTCATAAAATTTAACATTTTAAAATTAGCAAATTTTTTTTTAAATGTTGAAGGCACAAGTATATAAACTTATTTATTTTCTTATTTTTTGGCATATGGTCAACAGATAATATCTAAAGTTGGTATTGAGATGGTAGCTGTGACAAGTATAACAATTCCAATCTATGATAGCTTTTTATAGATTCTTTTTTTTAGAAATCTCTCTCATAGTGAAGAAATACATATCTGAAACTCAACAATTTCTTCATTTCTCACTACATTTATCTTTTCTTAGGTTAAAGTAAAATTAAATGTAATATTTTAAAGTTGATGCATATAATATAATCCCAGTATTCTAAATTATGTTTTCTTCCTATCTCTGTGTGTATATATATATATATATATATATATATATGTACACATATATTTTAAGTATATATGTATAATGATGAACAGAATGATAACCAAATATTAATAATGTTACTTTTTAAAAGGGATTTGGAAAGAGCTTAACTTTCCTCTTTGTTCTTTGAGGCATGATATGAAATTTTTTCTAATGGTGATGTACTATTTTAACAGAAACAATAAAATCATTCTAAAGGAGGAGGAGGCAGAGGAACTCCTTTTGGAATGTAGAGTGCAGCTTTGAAAAGCCATGAATCAATCCTTGACTTCAACATGTGGGATTAGGCTAGTGGGTGGTGGTTAGGGGAGGTGAAAATGAATAGGCGGCAACTCTCAAGTTGAGTAAATAAATCATATCTGCTAATCTTATGTGGGTACTCCCCGTGTCAGGCACTGGCTAAATGCTTTGCGTGCATCACCTCCTTCCATCCCTAAATAACCTACAAAGTAACACTATTCAGGACAGCCACTTACAGTTTTGAAGGTTGCGCACTCCAGGAGACATTATTCGCATTGTCAATCACGTGTTTCTGGCACTCCTGGAGTCGTGTGGTAGACAAGTTGTACAACTGTATGCAGTGACCATGGCATCATTTCCCCTTTTTTTCAGATGAGGAAAACTGAAATCTGTAGGCATTAAGAAGCTTGTCCCAGGCCGGGCGCGGTGGCTCACGCCTGTAATCCCAGCACTTTGGGAGGCTGAGGCGGGCCGATCACGAGGTCAGGAGCTCGAGACCATCCTGGCTAAGACGGTGAAACCCCGTCTCTACTAAAAATACAAAAAAATTAGCCAGGCGTGGTGGCGCATGCCTGTAGTCCTAGCTACTCGGGAGGGTGAGGCAGGAGAATGGCGTGAACCTGGGAGGCGGAGCTTGCAGTGAGCCGAGATTGTGCCACTGCACTCCAGCCTGGGCGATAGAGCAAGACTCCGTCTCAAAAAAAAGAAAAGAAGCTTTTCCCAGATCATAAACCTAGGAAGTAGCAGAAGCATGGTCTATCTGACACCAGAAACCACATTTTTAACCAGTAGCCTCCACTGCACAGACCCTGCTGTCCCTGAGGGTGGGAAACAAAAGAAGGATAGAAGGGAGATGGCAGGAAGTGGTGGTAGCAGCAGCCACTCCTGAGCAGTCTTTGGGGGTCTTAATATGGACTCACATCAGGACATTCTAACTAACCAACAATAGAGGTGCCATTCTGACAATGACAGTTTGTATATGCAAAGGTGTAAAACATCTTTTGATCAGGAATTTTGTGCGTACCATCCTGCTCCCATTCTTGATCAGACTAATTCCTAATTTTTTCTCCCAGCAGCTTCTTCACCCCCACTACAACCATTTTTAAGGGTGATACTAAAGGGATACCTTTAGTATCTTTTTAAAGAAATGCTCAGGCAAAATTGCCATCTTAACTCACCTTTGCCTCAAATCTTTTGCACCAAAAACTTTAAGGAAAAAAGATTCATTCTGGGATCCTAAAAATGTTGACATCATAAAGCAAACAATATTTATATCACTTAGCATAATAATATGAAAATGTATTTCCTAATTAATATTATTTGATGACAGTCAAAACAGTTATTTTATAAAAGTGACAAATATCAAAATAATCCTTGATAACTCAGATATACAAAAGATAAAGTCCTTCAGTGCTCTTCAACCTATCCTTCATGCATATGTGAAAGTATACAGAAACTGACCATTAATACACTGTGCAACCTGCTGTCCCCCAAGAGAGTCACGGGTAACAGTTGTGGGGGTGTGGTTCTGTGTGTTATCTTTCCTAACATACTGGGAAGATAATCTTCAGCTTACCTCACTAGCTCCTTCTCACCAGAATTCCTTCCCTAAATTATCACATGCAACTTTATGGACCAAAGTTTCATTCATATGTTAGTGTGAATTGGTTTTGTCCTAATATGACAGTGCCTGACTGAGACCATTCAAGGAACAGGAGTTTTGTTTGAGGCTAAAACGGTGAGAAATTGGAGAAGATGGATTGGAAGATTTTGATTTGCTGGGACACCTTTTCTTGCCAACGGAGAATTGATAGTCTGGGGGCCAAGAAAAGAGGATAAAGAGAGGAAAGTGGATTTAGAACATGATATATAAGAGGAGCAAATTTTAATTTTGCCTAACCATAGGCAGCAGCGTATATTTCCAAAACATCAAAATTTGCTATAACTCCTATGACTAAGTTAATATCAAGCTGAAAATGTAAAAATTCCCTCAATTTACCACAATATCCCCATGTAAACTATTTCAAGTTGGTGCTCTGGTTTGAGCCAATGCATTCAACCTGGTTTCTCTCTCATCAGAAAGAGAAGGGAAAAATGAAGAAAGAGATTCCTGAATACACTCCTATATCTACCAACTCATTCTTCAAATGACTTTAGAACTTTGGCCATCAAATGAATGTGCAGGTGTCTACTATAGTGTTAAAAATGTTATAAAGGTATTGATCCACACCAATTTCCATCTTGCCATTAGATGTGATTCAAGCATTGTGAAGCTTTCTGGAGACATTCACTTATTCAGGCAAGAGCACCGGCAAATTGAGAAAGCCATTCAAGAATTCGTGCCCGCCCTGGAAACTCTTTCCAAGAACTTGGACATGAAGGTAATTGAAAATAGATGGGACTCATATTACGTGTTACTGCCAGAAGTAAGATCATTATAGCTTATCAAAATGCCCAATCAGGTGGTAATTTTTTAAGAGAACTCTTTTCTTCCAAAGGGTGTAATTCTGACAGCTCACTCATATACGCCATGGAAACAGTCAATTCAATCAACAAATGTTTAATGAATGTCTGCCGTGTTCCAACACAGCCATCTACTCTAAGCATGCACTGCTTGAGTCCACCATTGCTGTTATTTTTTTACTCTCTGGAAGTAGTAAAATTATTTTTACTCAAGGACTATGGAACCAAGGAATATAAACAAAAGAACTTCCCATGGAAGCTATTATTATTAAAAGTCCAACATAAATGTGAATTGTTCATGTTACATCCCACTTAAAGCCCTGCAATGGGTTGTATCTCTTACAAAATAACATGTAAGTCCTTTGGTTGGTCTGGATTTTAAAGGCCATCTGTGCTTCTTGACTCACCCTTTATGCCCAGTGATACTGAGCTCCCTGTAGGTAGGTCCCCACTCACACCAAGATATTACACATCTTCCTCTAGTTTGTGCTCTTTTCTGCCTGAAGTGTCTCTTTTTCACCTTCCCAGTCAATGGTTTCACTAAAGTGGAGCCCAATGCAAAGTTTTCTGTGCTCCACTTTGTCACATCTTATGCAAAACAAGCACTTCTCTTCTCCTCTGAAGTCATTTGGGCAGAACAAAGTAGACATCCTCTGGAAATTGGAAATATGAAAGTCTGGCGTTTGATTATTTGTTGGTAGGCGCCAGTTAATCCAGAGCAGGTGTTACTGAGCACATAGTTTACTCTAGTCCCATCTGGCTCTCCTTATCTACCTCCTACTCACCCATCTTATTAGGCCCAATAATTTTTAAACTCTCTTTGTTTTTCAAGGTACTCAATCATATCAATAACATGGCAATTTTATCTCTGGTTTTCTGATTTAAGACTTCATTGCTTTTCTTAAAGTCTTGAGCAGAAATTCCAGAATACTGTTAAATAAAAGTGGTCATAGAAGGCAACTTATCTGGTTCCTGATTATCCTGGAAATGTCTTTGCTGTTTGCTGCTGGCTATTGGTTAGAAATATTTTTTAATCATGTTAAGGAAGTATCCAGTGATTCCTACTTAGTTTTTATCAGGATGGAATATCTACTTTAATCAAATGCCTTTTAGATATCAACAAATATCTAGAACCACCATATTGGTTGTTTTTTGGTTTGGGGATTTGTGTGATGTTTGTTGACTTCTTTGGCCTTCTAATGTGTTAATACATTTCCCAATACTGAAACATTCTTGCATTTCTATAATGAAAGCTATACAGTTATTGTATAATAATTCAATATTTAATTTGGCATCAGGATTCAAAAGTGACATTGGACTATAATTCCTCTCTGTTTAGTATATTTTTAAAGATAATGCATACACATAGCTCAAAAACAAAACTACATAAGAAAATATAGCCAGAGAATTTTCATTCCCACCCCTTAACCATTCATCACATTTTTTTCATGATCCTCACAGGTAAGCATTTTTATTAGTCAATTGTGGATGCATTCAGTATGCCCTTATGCAGATATGAGCAAATGCAAATACATATTTTTATTCCCCCTTTATTGCACAAAAATAGTGTATATATATATAGTATATGTAAATAAATAGTATATATATAGAGCTATGCTTTTAAAAAAAAAAAACTAAACAAATATATCCTGAACATCTTTCCATATTGATACACAGAGACCTTCCTTATCTTTTTTTACAACTGCATACCCTTCCTTTGTATGTAATAGTTCAGTTAACTGCTCTTGCATAGATGGACATTTGGGTTCTTTTAAATATTTTGCTCTTTCAAACAATGCTGCAATGAATAACCTTGCACATATGTCATTTTGTATGCGTATAGATATATCTGTAGAATAAATATCCAGAAGTGGGATTTCAGGATCAAAATAGAATAAATAAAAGCAGAGAGAATTAAGCAGAGAGAGTACATGTGTGTTGTTTTGAAAGATCTTGCCAAATTGCTTTCTATATGGCTTTCACCTCATTGCACACCCACCAACAATATGTAAAATGTCCTGTGTCTCCATTGCCTCACCAATGCAGTATTGTTCAACTTCTGAATTTTGCCATTCTTATAGGAAAAAGGCAGTATCTTTTTGTTTTAATTAGCCTTTTTTATTATGGATGAAGTTGAGCATCTTTTCACATATTTAAGGGGCATTTGTATTTCTTTTTTGGTGAACTATCTGTTTATGTCTTTTGCCTATTTCTCTACTGGGCTATTTTTCCTCTCTATCTCTAGGAGCTCTTTATATGGTAAGGAGATGAGCTGTTTTCTCTATGACACAAATTGCAAATGCATTTCCCCAGTTTGTCATAGGTCTTTGGTTTTTGACATGCACAAATAGTTCTCTAGTTGTAGTTGAATTTATCAGTTCTTTTGTGGCTGCTGGAATTTCAAATCAGTTAGAAAGAGCTTCCCTACACAAAGTCTTGAAAGAATTCTTCATATCTCTTCAGGCACTTTCATGGCTTTGTTGTTTACACTTAAATCCTTCGTCCATTTGTAGTTTTCCTAATATGTGTCTTAACTACTGTTTTAATTATTGAATCTTTATGGTATTTTTATATCTGGTAGGGCTAGTTCCTTCCACTACGTTCTTTTTTCAGTTTCCTGGTATAATTAGTTGTTTTTGCTTATAATTTTAAAATCAGCCTGTCTCATTTCAATAAATAAATCAAAAATAAACTATTTTAATCTTTATTAAAATCATGTTAAATTTGTAAATAAATTTTAGAATTGACATAGTCATAATGTTGAGTGTTCTATCCAAGAATGTAGTGTGCTTCCCATTTGTCTGAGTTTGCTTTTAAGTTCTTGAGGAGTATTTTCAAATTTTTCTCATGTAGATTTGGCATAATTTCTTATTAAATGTATTTTGAGATTTTGAAATCTTTTTCTTTTTAGTTTATTGTAACAGGGGCTTCGATATGCCCTCTAATTCATTGTTAGTTGTATATTATGAAGACAATATTAATTTTATATTCCACAGTGTATTCTCTTCTTGATTATAGTAAGTTTTTAGTTTCCCTTCCTCCCCAAGAACACAATCATATGCTCTGTAAATGGTAATAATTTTAGCTCATGTTTTTTCATTTTCATATGCAAAATTTCTCTCTCTTTTCTAATTGCTTTGACTAATAACCCCAAACAATGTTAGATAGTATGTGGGAATAGTGGACATCCTGGTCTTCTTCCTAACTTTAACTGTCCTGTGTTTCCCTTATGATGGGGAAAGTAAGTTTCCCCATTAAGCATGTTTAGTAGCCAACTATTCCTATATTATTGAATTTTTTAGAAATCAAAAACGATTATTGAATTTTATCAAATACCTTTTCAGCATTTATGAAATGATGTGTTCTCTGTTATACTAGTGTAATTATTTCCTATTATTAAACCATCCTTGCATTTTCTAAAATAAATTACACTCATTATGATGTATTTTGTTGTGGTGCAGGATAATGTTTGCTGACATTTTACTTAAGAATTTTGCATTAGTGCTTTTAAGTGAGATTAACCTATTTTCTCTGCCATCGTTTTCAGATTTTGGAATCACCATTGAACTGACTTCATAAAAAAATTTGAAAGTTTTCTTATTTTTCTATGTTCTGAAACAGTTTAAAGAGTATTATAAGTATTCTTTAAGGATTTGGTAGCTTTGCTTCTGACATATTATCTGAGCCTGATGATTTGATGGGGAAGGAAGCCCTTTGATAGCTTTCATTTTTTATATTTATTTTTTTGAGACAAGGTCTCTTTCTGTTGATTAGTCTGCTTAAACTTTCTATCTCTTCAGAGGTTAGCTTCTATAAATTACTTTTTCTTAGAAAAAAAATCTATTTCCTTCAGATTTTGAATTTGCATAAAGTTATGCAAAATGCTTTTAGGGTGGTTTTAATTCTCTCTGCTTTTATTTATTCTATTTTATTATTTTGTATATTTGTGCTTTTCTTTTTTTCCCCCTTGATTAGGTTAGGTGTGCCTTAACAATGATTTTACAATTAACAAATCCTTTTATATATTTTTTATTTTCTGCTTCTATTGTCTTTTCCAACTCTCCAATTTCACCTTTTATCTTTTCTTTTTCCTTGCCTGCAGGGTATTTTGTTGTTCATTTTGCAACTTTTTAAAACCACATGTATTTGTAGTCTTTTTTGCTGACATGAGCATTTATGGCTGTGAATTTTTCCTGAGCATTCATTCTTCTTCCTTATATCCCCCGGAGTTTAACATGTAGTATTCTCATTATTATTTCCTAGAAATTCTGCAATTGCATGTGGTATTTTCCCTTAAATAGTTAAGAGGAGTGTATTAGTCTGTTCTCACACTGCTAATAAAGACATACCCAAGACCGGGTAATTTATTTTTTTAAAGAAAGAGGTTTAATGGACTCATAGTTCCACATGGCTGGGGAGACCTCACAGTCATGGTGAAAGGTGAAGGGTAGCAAAGGCATGTTTTACATGGTGGCAGGCAAGAGAAGTGCCAAGCAAAAGGGGGAAAAGTCCCATATAAAACCATCAGATCTCATGAGAACTCACTCACTATAATGAGAATAGCAGCATGCAGGTAATTGCCCCCATGATTCAATTACCTCCCACGGGGTCCTTCTCATGACATGTAGGGATTATGGGAATTACAATTCAAGATGAGATTTGGATGGGGACACAGCCAAACCATATCAAGGAAGTTTTTTCCCCACCCTCTGAGTTAAGGACTTTTTGTTTTGTTATGCTGGTATTCATTTTTAGTTTCATCTCATTGTAGGTAAAAATTTTAATATATGTAAGTTTTAGTTTTTGGAATATTTTGAGGATTGTTTTTGGTGGCTGGATAGTCCATTTTCATACATGTTCTAAAAAAAGTGTATTCTGTATTTTTAGGGCACAAAGTTCAATCAGTACTTATAGGGAATAACTTACTGGTTAAATCTTCTGATCCTTACTTATTTTTTAGTCTACTGCTGTCTTGGATTGAGAGGTGAATTAAAGTCTCCTCTGGTTATCAGACTTCCATTTCACCTATAATTTCAGTTTTTAGAATGTTTCTGCTATGTTATTTGGCTTACAGATATTCATAACTACTCTTTTTTCTTTCTTAATTTTAATACTTAAGTTTCCTCACTTCACATGTAGAGTAGAACAAACTTTGCCTATTACCTTTTCGAAAAACCAGCCCTTGGATTACACATCAATCCCCATACCTTTTGTTTTTATTCATTTATTTTTAAAATATTTGTTTTCAATTGCTGCCTTAACAAATTACCATAAACATAATAGTTTAAAACAACACAAATGCATTATCTCATGCTTTCTGTAGGTCAAAATTTGGGAGGGGCTAGACTGGACCCTCAGGATCTCATAAGGCAGAAATCGAGGTGTCTGCAGAGTTGTGTTTCTTTATGGAGGCTTTGGGAATGAATCCTGTTCAGGTTCATTCAAACTTTTGAATCCAGTTCCTTGCAGTTGTAGTCCTGAGGTCCTTGCAGGCTGTTAGCTGGGGGTTGGTCCTTGCTCCAGAGGCCGCCTACCTTCCTTCTTGTGTTTTCCATGTGGCCTTTCTCCAGCAACAGCAGGTCAAGTCCTTCTCATGCTTCAAGTCATTCTGACTTCACCTTCTGCTGCATCCCTCTCACACCAGCTGGAAAAACTTCTCTGCTTTTAGGAGCCCTGTGATTAAGTTAGGCCCACTTGGATAATCCAGAATAATCTCCCCCTTTTACTTTAATTACAGCTGCAAATCCCTTTTGCTCTACAGCATCGCACCTTCACAGGTTTCAGACTGAGGGCATGGACATCTTTTCGAGCCCATTCTGCCTCCCACAATTTGTCAATTTCTTCATCCTGCTTTCCTTTGATTAGGAATTTTTTATTCCTTTTAAACTTCGTGAAATGAATGATTCACTTACATTGCCTTATTCTTTCTTGTATAATTATGAAAATATTTAATGCCACAAATTTACCTCTGATTATATATTTGGCTGTGTCCTTTTGATATGTAATGTTTCCATTATCTTCTCCTAAGTAAATTTGTAATTGCAGTGTTGATTTACTCTTCGGCACTTGTGTTAGTCCAGATCCTTTGCGAAGCAAATGCCATAAAGGAATTAAATGTGCAAGAAATTTATTGAGAGGAAAATTGATGAAGAAAAATTGGGAGGGAGACTATGACAGAGGTCTGGTTTCTGTGAAAAAGATGGAGAAAGAAGGCTTTAGGATTGCAGTGCCATTCTAAGATTATTTCAGTGAGTTCCTTTGTTCCTTGAACAAAAGTCACGCATCAAAGGACTACTCAGACATTGGCTAGGCACGGCCTGTAGAAAGCATGGTCTGGACACTCGTGATGGATTTTGAGCACAGTAGTCACAGCCCTTGGCCAATTATGCTCCTTGCAGTAGGACATCTAAGAGGCACATTTTCATGTGAAACACTAAAATCAAGAGTGGGTTTTTTGTTGCTTTTTTTTTACTCAAGTGACTGGGTTTTTGTGGGTTTTTATTCCTTTATGCTTCCTTATTAACTTCTAGTTTTAGCACAGTGTGGAGTTATGGCCTGTGCTTTTCCTGCTTTTTGGAATAATTTGAGATTTTCTTAATGTTGCATATGTGCTTGGTTGTTGCAGATGCTTAGTGGGCACTGGGAAAAAATGAATGCTGTTTCCAAGTTACATGGTTTGATATATAAATCTATGAAATACATTTACAGTTTTTATATTTTCTTGTATCATTATTTATATTTTACTTACTTGACCAGTAAAGAGTCAAGAAAAGTCATTTAAAATCATTAATGTATTGTCTCTGTTTATCCTGAAAAGCTGTTGCTTTTTTGCTCAATATATAAATATTCACAGCTCTCTACTTTCACAATGAGTTTTACTCTTCATCTATAAAGATGACCATCTTTGTCCCATTTTTAAATGTGTTTTGCTTTAAGTAATATTTTACCTAACATTAATATTGCTCTGCTGCTTTATTTTCCTTTGCCTTTACCTGTAATTGCCTATTATTATAATAAATTGCCTATTATTTTATTTCAAACATTTCCATCTTTAGCCTGTTTTAAGTGTATCTTTCTCCTGTAAATAGCCACTCAACTGCTGTTGGTTGCCCACCCAACACTTACCTATTCAAATCCTTCCGTTACTCCCCTCTTTCTTTCATAAGAACTCATTTTATTAAATGCCCACTCTCCTCCATATGACCGTCTTTATTAGGAGCTGAATTCTGTTTGACCAAAGCCAATCATGTAGTTTCATTCTCCTTAAAAGTGACTAGTTTAGGCATGATTATGGGTTGCAATTCTGCCTCTATTTTTTAATCCAGTTCTTTTACATAAAGAAACTTTCTCAATGTTTCTGGCAGTTTGAAAGGTGCTCTAATCTTAAATTCTAAAACTGGAATTTGTTTTTTTCCTATCCTTAAATGCCCTAAGTCATTTCACTTGGGATTCACTTGTGCTCATGTCAGAATACTATCTGGAAATCTTGGGCCAGTCATGTGTGTTTTCCTCAGAGCCTGATTGTGCATTTAAACATTTATTCAATAAGTATTTGTTGAGCATTTACCATTGATCACCTAATGTGCACTGAGGATATGGTGGTAATAGCATACCATATCTTGTATTGTAACGGGAGACAATAGAGAAGTAGAAATATAATCAAATTAACAGACTAATAAACAAACTAATGGAAACAGCATGTTTTTGTTATATCATTAGATGGCCTATGATCAAAAAGAATATTCTAGACAACAGAATGGAACACTCCCTATTATTCTTTCCTTGAAGATAGTGTAACTGTAATACTCATTTGAACACAAGGCATTTTCAAGTGCAATCATGCTTTAGGTTCAAGTCTGTTTCCCAGCTCCTTAAAGGAATAAAGTATATTAATCTGTTTCCCGGCTCCTTAAAGGAATAAAGTATATTAATGTGAATGCTGGTGGTTTTGTTCATATGCACAAACCCTCTCGTACTTTGACTAGGTGATGCAGCTCTTAGGAAAGATAGAAACTGCCAGTTCTGAGCAAACCTCGAATTTAAAGATGGTCCAGGGGGATTATCGCCACGAAATGAACCTTTTGGAATTCAAGTAAGTGAATAGAAGATTTTTAATTCTGTTAAGTGCATTCCAAAGAGTTTTGCCTAATGAAAGCATTGGCATGAAATAAAAACCTATCCCAGGAATTTGAACCTGGCCAAGAAATAAAGCAGTGAACTAACACAGAGAATATTTTACACTAAAGTAACTTATATAATATTTATAATAAAAGAATTATGAATATTAATCTTATCATTCACTTTGACTGCACAATATCTCAACTGAATTGACACAATCATTTTTACCCTTCCTGTAATTTTTACTTATTATCAATTGCATATTAAAATGTCTCAATGTAAAGCACTATGGAAAATAATTTCATTCCTCAAGATTATCAAATATTTTTAAAAACAATTTTGATACACAAGCTTTTCCTTTAAGATTCTTCCTAACATCCTCTATTTACTCCTTTACATTATCATTATTTTATTATTATTATTATTATTTTGAGACGGAGTCTCGCTCTGTCGCCCAGGCTGGAGTGCAGTGGCGCGTCTCTGCTTACTGCAAGCTCCGTCTCCTGGGTTCACGCCATTCTCCTGCCTCAGCCTCCTGAGTAGCTGGGATTACAGGCATGTACCACGACACCTAATTTTGTATTTTTAGTAGAGACCGGGTTTCTCCATGTTGAGGCTGGTCTCGAACTCCTGACCTCAGGTGATCCGCCCGCCTCAGCCTCCCAAAGTGCTGGGATTACAGGCGTGAGCCACTGTGTCCGGCCTACATTATTTCTTTTTAAGACTGGTCTCTACCCCATCTTAAACTGAATTTTTTCCTCCACTCAATGGAGAAAGCAGTAAAGGAGACAGCTCCACAAATGTTCAAATTACTGGCTTCCTTATTATCAAATCTCCCTTTTTTTCTTTTTTTAAATGATCATCATTTCCAGGGTCATGGTGCAGGCAGAGGGAAATTCTAGTTACTTGGATACTATCATACTGTCCCTTATGCTCTTATTCTTTTTACTCTATGTCTCACAACATTTGGGTTTAATGCCTTAATCAAATCCAGTATCCTGATAATACTCTACTTTCTCCATTTTTTCCCATCTCTACTGTATTTTATTAAATCTAAGTGCCATTGAATATAACATGCACCATTATAATTTTGTACCTGTAAGACATGAAGCTAACAATTAAACCGTAGCATATCATCATTTTAAGATATTTCTTGATTTTGGAGATGCTAAAATGCGAAATATGTGTGTCTTACAAGTTGATGTAAAACAATTGTCCTTACTAAAACTTGGAGAAGTAGTTGTCAAGTAAACAGAAAATATTCATGTTCTTCATAGTCTAAGAAAGCATTTCTACTTTCTTAAATTCTAGCACAATGAGGGTGTTCAGTGAGTAGCTAATCTAATACCTTTAGCTTGGAATTAAGACAAAGAAAACTGTCCAAAGGAAAAGTAGAACAGTAATCTGTTTCTAGATATACAGATTAAGAATTGACTGTATAGGGAAGGGATGGGATTTATAAACTGAAATGGAAGGCTGACTTAAAGGGATGAGGTATATTAACAAGTGGAAAAGAGAGAAAAAGGAAATGTTTGAGATCCAGGGCTAACTGCTGCATTACTGATGATGCTCATTTTTTCTGTCTTTGGTATTATGGGAATTTGGCTTATGGAAAGTCATCTGAGTAGTTAAATCTGAATCTGGACACTTTTATAACAGTGTAAACTTGACTCTTTTTCTCACTTTAAATAATGAAGTCTTAATATTTCAGTAGTATTACAGTAGGTGGCAGTGACTCTATAAACCATGCTTTTCCCCCAGGCAAATAATTCTAATAATTCATTTAGTTACACAACTGACTTTTATATTTAAATTTTCTCCAATTTTAAAAATTAAAAATATGCATTAATTGTAAAAAAAAAAAAAAAACCAACAACAGTGAAAAAAGAGGTCATCATCTCAGCCTTCTGTTGTAATCAATATTAACACCAGGGATGTAGCCATCCTCAATTTCCTCCTTGTTAATATAAGTATATAACAGAGAAAGGATATGTATATATTATATGTATAGAGGAAGCATGGGTTTTAAAAATAATTTCTATACCTATTACTCAATTATTTGATTTTTCTAGTACATCCTGGATATCTCTCCAGATCAGTAAATGTTCTAAGTTTTTTATAGCTGTACAATCTTTTAACTTATATATGTGCCATAATTAATTCAACCATTTATCTTATTGCTGAATGGATTATTTCTAGTTTAGGACTACCACAAGAAACAAAAAAAGTATTATGTGTATATCCTTAGATATCCTTAAATACTGGCACTTTTATTTCTATAGGCAAGCTTGCTAGGTTAAAGAGTATATATATATATATATATATATATATATGTATATTTTAATTTTATAAATTTCTTCTTTAAAATGTTGTAGGGTTTTACACTTCGACCAGCAATGTATGAGAAGACCTTTCTCTACATTTTAACCAATGATGAATGTGTTCTCTTTTTAATACTGGCCAAAGGATGAAAAAAGCATCTGTTTTAATTTGCATTCCCTTTTACTATTTGAATATTCTGTGAATTGCCCATTATTATTTATCAAATTTTGTATTGGGATTTTTGTCATTGTCTTATCAATTTTTAGGATTCTTTCACATTAGAGATATTAACCATTTGACTGAGATATGTATTGAAAATGTATTTTGCTCAAAGAGAAAGTAAGACAGGGTTATTTTTTTTTTCAATCAGAAGACCTCTGTTTCAATCTGGTATATTGGATTTAGTTTTTAACAAGGTTAACTTTGAACAAAAATAAGTAGTTCCACTACTTTAAAAAAAAGTAAACTGCTGCTAATATTAGGATTTTGAGGTACATATACATTTAAAAATGAAGTAGATAATGTATAGAATTCACTTTTTTTAAAGAAATAACTTTCTCTGAATAAAGAGATTAACTTTAAATAAAAGTGTTTTAATAACATTAAAGGTTAAGTTTAGTCAGACACCGTGGCACACACCTGTAGTCCCAGCTACCCAGGAGGCTGAGGCAAGCAGGATCGCTTGAACCCAGGAGTTCGGGTTACAATGAGCTGTCATTGCACCACTGCATGCCAGCCTGGATGACAGAGCAAGACCTGGTCTCTAAAAAAGTCTTTTAACAAAGGTTAAGGTTAACCTTTGTTTGGCTTGAAGACCAGAAAATTAGACACTACAAGATTGAAGACAGCTAATTTAAGAAACATCCACAGCAGAGACTGGCACAAGTTCTTTGAAAAGTGTCTCAGAGGTGCTGACAAGTCCTTTCAAGATTCAAGATCAACAAGAAGCTATTGACTGGCTTCTCGGTCTAGCTGTGAGGCTTGAATATGGAGATAATGCTGAAAAATACAAGGACTTAGTACCTGATTATGCAAAAACTGCTGACAATGCAACTAAAAATGCAGAACCATTGATCAATTTGGATGTAAATAATCCTGATGTTAAGGCTGGTGTGAAGGCTAACCTGCTTCAGATTCAATGTCATGACGATTACCTGGTAATGCCTAAGGCAATTCGAATTTTGGTTCAGGAGCACCTGACAGGATGCAGTTGCTAAGGCAAATCAAACAGAGGGTTTGCCTGTTGCTTTAGACAAAATATTATTGGTTTTGATGCAGGAGATGCAGTTCTTAATGAAGCTGCTCAAATTCTGCAATTACTGCATATAGAAGAGCTCAGAGAGCTACAGACAAAAATTAATGAAGCCATAGTAGCTGTTCAGACAATTATTACTGATCCAAGGACAGACCACAGACTGGGAAAAGTTGGAAGATGAACACTTTAGGACTTCAGCTTCTCACCTATTTAGTACAACTGGGAACCATGTCCACTTCTGGCATGTTTGAAAATCAAACGTCACATTTTGCGGGGAGGAATCCCAGAAAAGTGACTATGTTCTAGTGCTTTTTTCTTTAATAAAGTTTAGGAAAGTAGGGGAAAAAAAAGAGCAGAGCTGCTGCAGGCCAGGGCCACCTTCACTCGGGATACCTCTGTGGTTACCAGATGTCAATCATGGAAAATGTGAGAGAGAAGAGAAGAGCAATACTGAAAAAGTTTCCCCGTGCCACACCTACTCGCAGGTGTCTTGGCAGGGAATCCAGGAGCAAATGCCTTCAAAACGCCAAGGTAATTCCGTCTCCACCACCATCCTCATTAGTAAATTGAAACCCGAGACGATGGCTTTTATGTCACCTCACTTGCCAAGATACAATTAAAACCTGTCAAGACAGGTTGTCAAAATGATACCAGCGGCTAAAACATACAAAGAGCCTCGGCTTCCATAGCCACCATTCCTGACGGCCAAGCACCAGAAACAGCAGCCGAGGAACCTCAAACTTTACATGCGCATTTTTCAAAATTAAAACTATGCATCTGGCCGGGCGCGATGGCTCACCCCTGTAATTCCAGCACTTTGGGAGGCCAAGGCGGGCAGATCACGAGATCAAGAGATGGAGACCATCCTGGCCAGCATAGTGAAACCCCGCCTGTACTAAAAATACAAAAATTAGCCGGCCGTGGTGGCGGGCGCCTGTAGTCCCAGCTACTCGGGAGGCTGAAGCAGGAGAATGGCTTGAACCCGGGAGGTGGAGGTTGCAGTGAGCAGAGATCGTGCCACTCTCCTCCAGCCTGGCGACAGAGTGAGACTCTGTATCTAAATAAATAAATAAATATAAATAAAACTATGTCTGCAAATTAAAAAAAAAAGGTTAAATAGGCAATCTTCCCATTTAGAAACATTTACAAATTCAAGTTTAATGGTCAACTAAACTTATATTGAACTTAAAAGCTACAGTGTTTTCTGACACTTTTCTAGTGAATTGCTGGGATTTGGGCACTGATCTCTAGATCCGACAAAGACATGCACTGAACCCCTCCACTGTGCCTCCTCCTCAGAAGGATCATCCTCTGAGCTTCTGCTAAGTAATGTCCTAAGCCTACTTAGTTCTTACACAGCAAGAGTCTTGGCCATCAGGAAATAAAGCTGTCTTTTAACAAGGGTTTGGCAGGGGCAGCACTTACCAGTCACTCCCTAGATAGCTCTTACTGCTGACGCTTGTTTAGTAGACAGTGATTTATAAGAAAAGAAAAAGTGTTTGGTCAATGAAGCAAATGCATAGACTCAAATAATATCATCCAACTTTGAAAACACTACCACAGTAGAAAGTTAATAATTACCCAGTACAGAGATATGTCAAATTCAACTTTGTATCTTTAGCACCCAACACATTGAAATAGAAGTAGAAGCCAATGAATGAATGAACGATTTTTGAGCACCTATATTATGTAAACTGTGTTTTAGAATATCCAAACATAATCCTTGCTACTTACAGTTGAGAAGAAACAACATAAGTGAAAAGCTAAACACAGGAAAAGTAAAAGTTAAGACAATGTTAAATGAGATGATGTATCAATAGGCAGAAATAATAAATACAGTAATCGTCATTTATGAATGCTTACCAACCACTAGTGCTGAAGATACTCAATGCACCCAGCTCTGCAGGGTGGATCTTATTTATCCCTATCTTAAAGATTAGGACATATAAAATCATGGAGATTAATTTGCCCAAAATCACACAGCTAGAAAGTGTCTGACTCTAAAGCTCAAATTGTTTTGATCAATTCATGATGTTTCCATCTCACAATTCTGTCTATTGAAAACTAATTCTACCACAGAAATTTTTAAAAGGGAAAGACCACATTGACTTGGGTGGCTGGGAAACAGGCTGTGAATGTATTGGGATTTGAACAATTTGGAATATCTAAGAAACAAAAGTCTTTCTATCAGAGTGGAGGCAGAATTGATTTTTAGTGTCACTAATTAGAAATCACATAACATTAAGAAGAAATTAGTTTGAGAGTTCTACCTGTAGGTGTAAAGTTAGTAGAAAAACAGTATTTCTTGGAACTAATTTTTGGTTTCTAATATGAAACTTAGAATCTTAGACTCAGTCTCCAAAGAAATAATAGCATATGGTCTGTCTTAAGCTCTTTTTCAAATATGATTACAAAAATGAAAATATCTTCTGTTTATCAGCAAATGAAAGGCCACTAATTCTTTTTACATTCACACTTGGTCAAAGCCCTATCTAAGTTCTTGAGAGCCTGCTAGCAGTAATAGTTTCCAAGAATTCAAAATCTTGGAAAAGTTCATTCAACAGATTTTTTTTAACACAAGACATTGGTTTTGGGACATAAGTGTAGTGGCAAAACTGGCCTAGGATAGAGCTACATCCTCATTTCTGTATGTCATCCATGACCAAGGAAGGCGGACCCTGGCTGCCTTCACCACTAATCCCTCACTGCAGCTCTCTGCCTTGTGCCCTGCTATGTCTGTAGATCTTCACTCAGCTTTCCTTCACTGTTTTGTAATTTTCTCCCTTATAATTGCTCTCGGTGTGTACTTTAATTTGATTAAATCAGCATAAACACTTAAAAACATAAAAACAACCAATAGCCCTCATCATCCTAGTGAGGTCTCTAGCTATAATTTAAATGTCTGACTTTTGTGTTTTGAGGAAAAGGAAAGAATAAGCTCTATCTCATCACCTATCTGTATACATCTAATAGAAATGCTCATACACCTATTGAAATAGAAGATTTGGGATCTAAAATGTGAATGTCATCTAAGATAGATTCATACTGCTGAGATTTTAACTGTAAGTTCTGTAATTAATATATTATGGCAAATCATGTCCATTATGTCCGGGAAAAGCTTATGCAAAGAAAAAGAGTTATACAAACCTTTATTTTACTTATTCTTTACATCTCTCAAGGAGATTGCTATTTCAAAAATGCTTTCAAATTTTAATAAACTACCAACAGAATCCAACTTCTGGGTGTTACCAGGAAAATTAATCCCCAGCTGAAAGCAAATCTTGTAATAAAAGGATAAGTAGTAATTCATTCTTTATGGCTTTAATTTCAGAATTTCAATTACTGATATGCCCTTCCAGAGATATTACATGGGCATACTTAATGTTTCCTTGGTTTTCAGAGGGATGTTAATATTGTATCAGTGATAAAAGAGTAAATGCTCTCATTTATTTGTTATACAGTAAAGGTGGGCACTGAAGGCTGGATTCTCAATTGTAAAGCTATCTCTTGATTATCTGGGGATTTACTGGCCCCCTTAACTATGACTATTAATTAATACTTCCACCAGAGACAGGGAAAGGAAGATGAAAACCAAAGCAGATTAGATTTCTAAATAGCTTGACAAATCTATGATTTGTTATTTGTCAGCAATGCTAATAAAAGATACTTAATGAGAAAGAATGACCCATTTGTTCATTTAGCCAACTATTTATTGAGCACTTACTATATTCCAGGCATTGTTATCAGCCATGAACAATGCAAAATTCTTGCTTTCATGGAGCTTAACTTTTAGTGGAGGAGATAGAACACAAATTAGTGTGCGTCAGATGGTGATGAGAATTTTGGAGAAAAATTAAGTAGGGTAAGAGAATAGGAAGTTTCAAATAAGGAGAAAGAGTTCTATTTTTTAAGGTGGTGTATAAATGTAAATCTGAATGAGATTAGGGCAGGAGCCAATGGATATTCTGAGGAAGAGTATTCCAGATAGAGAAAATAATTGGCTAAAATGAGGGAGTCTACGTATCCAGTGGGTGGGCTTATTTGTCTGAGATCCAACAGCTGTTAACCAACAGCACAGGTGATTGGGAATCATGATTAGACTAAGAACACGAATAGAAACCAACTCCATCTTCTTCAGTGTTGAGGTACTCAACAGTCAATCAAGATATGCCTCATATCTATGTGAAAAATATCACTCTGTGTCAAAAATAATGAGAGAATTCAGAGGACAAAGATCAGAATTTAGCTATTAGACTGTAACTAATATAACTATTGGAAAATTAACTTACATTTCCCATTCCTTGGTTTCATCATCTAAGTCAGGTTTTCTCAGTGTCGGCACTATTGGTATTTCAGCTGGATCATTCTTTGTTGTGAGTCTCTCCTGTGCATTGTAAGATGTTTAGCAGCATCTCTAGTGTCTACCCACTAGATGCCAGTAACACCTCTCAGTTGTGACAACCAAAATTGTCTCCAGATGTTATCAAACGTCCCCCAGGGGCAAGCAGGTGGGAGGGGGGTAACTGCCCCCAGTTGAAAGCTATTAGCCTAAAAATAATGATTTCACAGAACTTGTATTTTCTAATAATTAGCCCAAACACTTTTTCCAAAGAGCAAGAGAGGCATGTATATGGAGTGTATGTCCAGCATGACTTAATTAATTTCCAATGATAAACATCACAAACTAAATTATATGCATATAATTTTGTCTGAAAACATCAGAGCAATTATTACTTTAACTGTCTGTACCATACATTGTAAGACAGTCTGAATATTTTCAATAACAAACATTGTTCTTGCCAATCTAACAGTTTTACCTATTCTAAAAGGGAATTTGAAGCCAACATCTTATCATGAGCAAGTCACATGCAGAAAACACACACAGAAACCACTCACAAGTCCCCATCCCTCATCCTACCTCTTCCCAGTCCCATACCTCATTTAATTCAGATTGGATTCCCCTCTCTCCTCAAACCCTCGGCCACTCTACAGTGACTTCTCAACTGATGATATATGATTCCAACCCTTTTATCCACTTCTATTCTTAAAAATCTTTCATTCTCTGTTATTTAATACTTCTATGGTGCATCATCTTGATAGGTCCCGTAGGTACCTTCCTGTACCTCTATTACTTCTGCTTTTGCCCCACATGAGTAATTCAAGGCCTCTTTAAATGCCCCCTAAAAAAAAAATCCACTCACACAGACTCATTGGTAGCAATGGGGACTTTATGGAAGATTTTGCCTGAGACAAATGCAACCTAAAGTCCCCCTTGGCACATTCCCCAGGTTCTTTGGGGGCTTTTCTCCTCCATTCTCCTGCCTCTGACCTTTCTCTCCTCTGCTAGACAATGCAGGTCCTCTCTGCCCCTGCTCCTCTCCCAGCCACATACCGGCACTTAGCAGGAGTCAGCAAACTATCACACTTAGCCACATTTACCCACAGCTAAGAATGGCTTCTATGCATTCTAATAATTAAAGAGTTCTATTTCATAACATGTGAATATTACATAAAGTTTGATTAGACTATAACCGTACTCATTTCTTTACATATCTGTGGCTGCTTTCCCACTGCAATGGAGCATTGAGTGGTTGCAACAGAGACTATATGGCCCACAATGCCTAAAATATTTACTATCTGGCCTTTGACAGACAACGCCTAGCATGAGTAATAATCCCCACCACAAGGGAACTTATCAAAGTATTTCCTCCACACACAACCAGTGAGCCCCAGGCCATGAGAGGAATTCTGCATGGATAACACTACATTTCAGTGTGGCTGTGGTTAGCTCCCAGCCAGCAGTGCTCCTGTCACTGTGTGTTTGTATTTTAGGGTATGTAGAGGGGGTGTTAACAGTAGCTGGACTGAACTCAAGCTCAGGACAGGAACCCAGAGTGTACTTACCTTGCCTCTGGCACCTCCCACATCACCCCACAAATACTTGCTAGACACACTGAGTCTCGTCACCTCAAAAAACTGCAGACTTTTTCAATACTAATTTTTTATGTTTAAATTAACTTATTTAAATGAAACAAAACATTTTTTCCCATAGATTTCATTCACTTTCAAGTAATCTGTACGAAGAAGTTGAGAATAATAAAAAATGGACAGAAAACCAATTTCTCAAATATAGAAAAGACCACCTGGGCCATATAAATGAATGTCTGAAGGTCCTACAGGAGAAACTGGTGAGGAGTTCTGTTATTTTGTGAAGCAAGCACCTGCATAGTCCTTGTTAGCAGTGAGTAAAGGTCTGGGAATTTGTACTTCAACATTTATGGTAATCTTCACTGCTTCAGTAACTTTTTTTTTTTTAAACACCACAATAGGAGTCCAGAGGCCTGTCTTCTGGTCCTGTTTGCTACTCCCCAACTCTGCAAACCTGTGTTTCTCAGAGTGTGCTCTACCTGTACCAAAAGAATCTGAAGAGGTTTTTTTTTTTAAAAAAAAAAAAATAGATTGCCACCCCAGACCCAGAGAGTCTGACTCTCTTGGGGCCTCCCCTGGGAATCAGTGGTTAAAGGCACACTCCCTGAGTGATGTGCAGACAAGTCATTTGACTTTTCTGAAGATCTCTTAGTAGATTAAAAGTTTTCAAAACTCTTTTTTTCAGATCAGACCATGTAAAGACAGCCCCAAGCTTTGGGGTGAGGCTACCAAGGTTTATGAGAAATATACTTATTTCAGGGGTCCCCTCTCCCACTGCAACCAGCACACCTTACCCAATGGGAAGGGCAGCACAGCGCCATCACTGTGGTCAATGGCTGCCAGTCCTGCAGGTGACTAAAGTAAGATGTTTTGAGAACTTAGGTAGAGAGACTTTAGGCAGAGGCAGCTCAGGAAATAATGTCCCCAGCTCCAGCCTGAGTTTGTAAACAGCTGATAGAGTTACAAAGGAGCCAAGAGTTGGAGATAAACATAAAGCTTTATCACTGGTAAGGCTATCGAAGTATGTGTGGTAAGACTGCAGCTGCCGAGTGGGACTGCTAGCTCTTCACTCCTGAATTAGGCAGATTCCTTTACCAGTTATACGCAGCACTAGGTAACCGTGGGGTCATTGTGCAGGCAGAAACCTCCCACCATAAGGAACACAGAGACTGGAATCCACCAACACTTATTCCTGAGGCAGATGGGGCCAAAGAGAGGAGAACCAAAAGGGTCATACCTGCCATGCCCAGTTCCTGCTCCCAGATTCCCTGTGGAGAAGTGAGGAGAAAAGCAGCTGATTATCCTAAGGCTGACTCTGCAGTCCCTACCTTGGTTGTACATTAGAATCACCTGGAGAGTGCTTAAATCCTATCAGTTCTTGAGCTCCATCACAGACCAATTAAATCAGAATTCCTGGGGCTGGGGTATGGTCCAGGTGATGTTACTAAACGACTGGAATGGCGAGTCACTATTCTAGCCGAAGTCTGTCCACGTGGAGGTATGAAATTGAGGGAGTATGTCCAAGAAACTCAGGAAAAGCAGTATCTAAAATGTCTTTGAATATTAGACTTAAATGCCAAATTCTCAAGGCATTTGGGCCACGCTACAGCCCTTTTCTTTTATTCCATTACATGTTGAATTCCAGAAACTACAAATGAACAGGGCCAAAGGGATTAACTCTTATACTTATGAACACAGTTTTAGATACAAAGGAACTTGGTTTGAATTTTCATGCTTAACATAGAAAAATGAATGTTAAAAATATTTTCTCTAAGCTGAAAGATAAATCCATGTACATTTCTGAAGTTTTATCCCATAATCTCTTTTACAGGAAAAGTCTGAAAATAAAATGGAAGAAAAACTGCTGCAGCTTTCAAGCAAAGTAGAGAATTTCATTAACACACAGAAACAGGAAACACAACTAAGTAAAGTAAAGCATATGGAAAATAAATTGTCCAAAAAGATGGAACAAATGGAAAAGCAGATCTGGGGTGAATTAGAGACAATGCAGAATGAATATCAATCAGGTGAGCAGATACCTTTTATTAAGTAAAGAATATCTGTCCTTTCCTGTTCAATCCCTCAGTCTTCCACTTTGAGCTAATGGCCAGGGATCAATCTTGTCATTAGTGACATCGTTATGTATTTATTCCACTTTTCTAAATATCCTATAGAATATGAGTATTATACTGGAAGGCATATAAATAAATTAACTTTCTTCACTTGGCAATGTCACAGGCCTGCCATTGGTGTGAATTTTTTTTTTTTTTTTTTTTTACTAAGATCATGGAATTTTTACTAATTCATGGAATTGTCAGACTTGGAAAATCCTTGGACATACCCAAGACGTGACTTGTGGGTATGTTATGAAATTAAGAGCCTAAATCAAATGCCCTTCTCATTGAACTACAAGTAATGAGCTTGGACAGATGTCAGACTGGAGACCTGACCTTTAGAAGTGAGAAAGAGGGATGAATTAGCAGAGTCCAGTATAATGACTGCTTTTATTTTGAAGAGGCTAATGGCAGCAGTGTCAAGCTGAGCTAACATCAAAGAGGATTAATTTGAAAGGCTCATCTAATTTCTCAAAGGGAAGGACATGGAATAGGTGCTGTGGTGCAGCCATCTGCCTTGAGTCATAATTCTGAGGGAATTACCAGGACTCAGAAGAGTTTCTTTCCTAGAGAAAGTCCCAAGTAATTTTTTTTCTTTTGTCTTCTAGATCTCAGAAAAATTCATGTGTAAATTCTACCAAATTTGGTCCTGTATAGAGATACCTTGGAGGTGCCTTGGGAGGACATGAGGGTCTCAATCTGCCAGATGTTCCTGGCATATAAGTAGAATTTGCTGCCTGGAAATTCAACCCTCACAATATACCCCTCCCACCGTCATATCAAAATAATGAATTATCTGGCCAGGAATCATGTCCCAAACTTAACTGGCCCTTCTTTTAAAGGCTCTGCTTTCTGTTTAACTATCAGAGGTTTAATTTTACTTATTCCATTAGTAAAACTTCAGGGTGAACTGAAAAGGAATTTACCACCTGCAAGTTCTTTCATTTTACTAATGAGGAGGAGTTCTAAAAAGGGGGAACTTCAAATTAATGGTTTGCTGCTTTATGCCTTTAATAAAAATGTGTTGAGAAACGACTCTGTGAAAGGCCCCAGTGAATAACAAATGGGTTGTGCCCTAAGGCCTTGAGGTTTGATAGGTCTGTGGTCAGGAGTGACTAGACATGCATAAGAGAGATACAAAGTGCTAGGAGGGAGGAGGGCAGCAGGGGGCCGCTGTTAGGTCCCTCAAATAGGCTACTTTCAGAGAAGATTTAAAATCTCATCTGTGATCTTTACCTTCAATTTGGTAACAAGACTGAAAAAAAATCACACAAGTCTCTCATCAAAGCATTCAGAAAGAATAAAATATTTTAAATTTCTCTCTTGCAATATAGAATTATGCAATATATTTGAGGAGGAGAAAAATAAATTTCACAATGAAACCAGATAACTAGATATAAGTTGAAACACTATTGTGAATGGATCTTCATGACATACAAGAAATATATTATGTACAATTTTAGGCTGGTCTTCATAGAATTTAATGCGCTTGGAATTAAATGATAATCAATTATGGCAGGACTGCCGATTAGCAACTTTTTTAAAAAAAAGCTCTAATGCATTGTTTAAGTGTACCTATTCTTTTACCCTCTTACAGGATTTAAATCAATTCATGACTCTCTCAGCTCCCTCCAACAAATACAGAAAACAAAGATGGATTTAGAGAAATATAAAGTACAGAAAGACCTAAAGAAATTACAGCGCAAGATAGTGGAACTCCAGGAAGTATAAACCTTTTCAGTCATCTTCTTTTTCATCAGCCAATGGAGTGATTTGTTGGAAAAAGTTCTGAAGAAGAAAGTTACTATCTCTGGGATGTTTACTGCTTCTAATGTCTCCTTTTAAGGAGACGAATGTACCAGAAAAATAATAAAGCAAAGAAGCTTCGGATGTCTTGAATTTATTAATGAAAAAACTAAGAAATTTCTTTATATAGCTGCCTTTATGTATATATATACCTATAAATAACGAAAGAGGAATCTACATAAGGTACATGAGTGAAGTAGGCCAGCTGTAATATATTAAAGAATGACAGGAGCTCTGGCAAATTGGAGAGCACTTACTCTGTCTAAAAATAATAGCTACTATGTAGTGACAGTCCATGACTAACATATATATATATATATAAAATCCATTATTATCCAAAATTCCACTTTTCAAGAGAAATTCCTCTATTTTTAAGCTTTAGCAACTAGTTCAAAATAGTTCTCAAACTATGTGAGATACGCCTGTGGAGCAGATATGACCTAGTGGTCAGTTTGCAACTTCTAATCTCAATGTTTGTAGCAAGTCTAACTTATGCATATTTAAAATATATTTTCCTTGTACTCAATATGTACCAGAATTATAAGCAATTAAGAGCCAAACCATGCAAAATAAGAGAATACAACAGTTTCCATGAAAACATATCCAACGTAATTTGACCTAGGTGCTAAATTCAGAAGTACTTCAAAAATGCTAGTTTCCTATACAATTAAAAATTGTTGGCCAAGTGCAGTGGCTCACACCTGTAATCCTAGCACTTTGGGAGGCTGAGGTGGGTGGATCACTTGAGGTCAGGAGTTTGAGACCAGCCTGGCCAACATGGTGAAACCCCGTCTCTACTAATAACACAAAAATTAGCCGGGTGTGGTGGCGTGCGCCTGTAATACCAGCTACTCGGGAGGCTGAGGCAGGAGAATCACTTGGAACCCTGGAGACAGAGGTTGCAGTGAGCTGAGATCACGCCATTTCACTCCAGCCTGGGTGACAAGAGCAAAACTCTGTCTCAAAAAAAAAATTGTCTAACTTTTCTAGATATAAATATTAAATATAGAGCCTAATATTGAGCAGTATATTCATGAAACATAAAAATGAACTATTCAGGATATGCACTCGGCTATAACAAGGACTAATTTCTAATCACAGAACTTATGTAAGCTTGGCAATGGAAACTTTGCTTCCGACTTAGGCTCCTTCCTTGGCTTAGGGAAGAAAAGTGACAACTTCCTCCCCTAATACAGAACAAGTTTACCTTCTGAGTAAATTTTTGACTAATGCTCACTTCTGTAATGTTTTAACTCTATGAAACATCTCCTTTTATTGCTATTAATAACCCACATGCAGCATCATTGAGTCTATAACTGAAGGGATTTTCATAGCAGAATTTAATTTAAGAGTTTAAAATGCAGTATGTTCAGTGATGATATGGTATCCAACGAAAAAGTAAGAAATATTAAAATAATGCAATGGTAAGTGTCCTTTGTAACCAAGTATCATGCTAAGACAGAGGGCTAATATCCCAAGTAATCCCAAATAACTTTTACAAGTAAGTAAGAAAATAATCAATTTTTTTTCAAAATGGGCAAAGGATATGAACAGGCAAGCCACAGAAGAATATAATAATATGAAGGTATGAGAAGATGTCCAACTTTACTGTTAAATAAATAAAAATTAAGAAACCCTTAGCTACTATTTTCAAGATTGGCAAAGATTAAAGTGATTGATAATACTGGGCTGGCAAGGGTGGAGAAAGAGTGCACTCTCATACATTATTGGCGAGTCTATAAATTGGTACAATGATTTAGATGGCAATTTGAGAACATCTGTTAATGTTTTTAAATGTAAATATCTTTTGATCCTGCAATCCATGGCTAGAAATTTATATTACCGGGGGAAACAACTCCCAAAGTGTGCAAAGATATATGAACAAGAATGCTCATTATAGCATCATTTGTTATAGTTAAAAAAAAAAAAAAAAGGAAAAGAAACACCAAAACCAGAAAACACCCAAATATAAGGAATTGATTGACTAAATGGTATTAACAAGACCACTCCCCCCACCACCCAATGCTGGACAGCCCTTTAAAAAGAACACAGAAAGATGTCCAAGATATACTGTTAGGTGAAAAAGACAAGTTTAAAAGCAATATGGATATGATCCACTTTTGTCATAAAATGTTTTAACTAAGTTAAACATAATATGCATATACTGTATGCCAAAAAAGGTAAGAATTTACAACAAACTTAGTGGATTCTATTTTTTAAAAAACTTCTGTTTTCTACATTAAGGATTTATGAAAGCTTTTATATTTTTATATAATATTTTTGTTTCTACTAAAAATATTTTATAAAAACAACAACAAATATAATAGGCTGAAAGAGTAACTCTTTGTAATGAACTAAACAAATGATTGTAGGGAGGGTTAAATTAGGAATTAATACAGACTAAGAGTCAAGTCATCTCACTCTCTTTTTGCTATACAGACATAGCTACAAAAGCAGAGAGGATACACAGCAACTGAAAAAAATATACATTTTCTCCTTGTTCTAAATGTTCTAATGTTCTAAAATGTTCTAAATTAGATTGTAGTTCAAATAATAGTGTAAAATCAGGCCAAAAGTTTTCCAACAATAGATCTTTCATTGCTCTTGGCCAGGACAGTAACATGTGGGGCAGTAGATCAAAGGATCAAAGAATCCTCTATCACCACTCTTCTACTTGGGATGCCAAATTGAGGTGTTCACGGGTTTGCACAGACTCTAGATAGTCAAAGAACTATGCTCATTGAGCAGGTGGATCCAGGTTTCTCAGAGTCTAAAGCTTATGATGTTTCAGTTTGTTATTGATGTACTGTCCTGATGCCAGATGAGTTAGCACAGAAGTCTATAAGAATATTCCTGGAAGCCACTCCTAATCAGGACAGCTAGTAGTAACTCAACACAGAAGTGACTGTGAACAACATGAATATATCCCTGTAATCCAAATGTATCCCCAACTCAACTTCTCTTTGTCCACAGCCACTTCAGCACCACCCGACATCAAGGGAAGTGGGAGTGAAAAGAGGCAGTGGTCTTAATCAATGGCATTCATCAATTATGTTTAAAATGTCTTACTTCTGTAAATATGACAATGATCTTGTAAATACATGGCTAGAGCTCACGCAAGCAGGAGCCCCTGAAGCTTAAGAGCCATTGTTTCACAGTAAATTCACCTCTGTTCAAGGAACCAGTGGAGCACTGGGCCTCCCTCCCCTTGCATTTATTTTGACAGAAATCCAAAAAGATAAATAAAACTATCCTCCTAAAGAAGCTCAATATACATGGCACTTTATTCCATATCAAACAATATTACTTAATCCTTTGGGAAATGTCAGACTTCTCTTCCCACAAATATAGGATGATTGAGCACTGGAGAATCTGCAATCCAGATCCACGCTACAGACTTGAGGCATATGTTAAAATATGCTCAGGTAGTTTTTACTTTAAGTACAAACACCATTTAAACAGTCTTGAATAGTTAAGGGTCCTACTGCCCTTAAATTTCCTGTTGTTTCCTTCCTATTATCAACACCTGCTCTTAGAAAACATAGGAGAAAAGCCCCTTGACATTAGTTTTGACAATGACTTTTTGGATATAACACCAAAAGCACAGGCAACAAAAGTAAACAAGTGAGATTACATCAAATTAAAAAGTTTCTGCACAGCAAAGGAAACAATCAGCAAAATGAAAGAACCTATGAAATGGGAGAAAATATTTGCAAACCATATATCTGATGGGGAACTAGTATCCAAAAACATATAAGGAACTCAACAACTCAATAGCCAAAAACACAAATAACCTGATAAAAAAAATGGGCAAAGGACCTGAATAGATGTTTTTCCAAGAAGATATACAAATAGCCAACAGATATATAAAAACTCAAATGATAACAGGTGTTGGTGAGGATGTAGAGAAAAGGGAACCCTCGTGCACTGTATGTGGGACAATAAATTGGTACAGCCATTAGGGAAAACAATATGGAGGCTGTTCAAAAAAACTAAAAATAAAACTATCACATGATCCTGCAATCCCACTTCTGGAAAATAAAGTGAAAACAGTATGTCAAAGAGATATTTGCACCCTATGTTCACTGCAGCATTATTCACAATAGCCAAGATGCGGAAACCACCTGACAGAAGAATGGATAAACTGTCATCTATGTATATACATATATATATAATTCAGGTTTACAGAAGAAAGAAATCTTGCCATTTGCGACAACATGAGTGAACTTAGAGGGCATTATGCTAAGTGAAATAAGCTAGGTACAAAAAGCTAAATACTGCACAAACTCACTTACATGTGGAATCTCTTTAGAAATAAATGAAGAATAGAACAGTAGTTGCCAGAACTCATAGAAATAAACAGAGAATAGAACAGTAGTTGCCAGGGGCTGGGAGCCGAGGCAAATGGAAGATTTCAGTCAAAGGATACAAACTTTAAAGTTAAAATGAATAAATTCTGGAGATCTAATGTACAGCATGTGGATCATACTTAATAATGTACTGTCTATTTGAAATTTGCTGAGAGATCTTCAGTGTTCTTACCACACACACAAAAATGGTAACTATGTGAGGTGATACGTTAATTAGCTTGATTGAGGTATCACAGTGTATATTAAAACCCACAATGTACATCTTACATATGTAGAATAAAAAATTTTAAACTTGCTCTTTGGGGAAAAATCATATGAAATTATTCATACTGAGGACTAGATGGTCATGTTCAAAGTGTTTTACTTCTGCACTAAAAATTAAGGACAAATCCCTCCCCTTCTGCCACACAGGTAACTGCTTTCTCAGCCCCATTGTGAGGCATATATGCTTGCCATCTGGTAGTCAGGACAGCAGCAAGGCCCAAGACTTTGGTCAAAGAAACAGCATTCCCAGAGTACTCTAGACACCAGCAGCCCTCCCGTCTTCTAATTTTCCAAACATAGACTCCCTTCCATTGGCTTCACCCATAGTAGCAGCAAGTAGCATCCCAAAACACCAAGAAGGAAAAATTTGATCTATAGTACACACACACACACACACACACACACACACACAGTGCACATTGTTGCCTTACAAAAGGGATCTCCAAAGTTTTTGTGAAGTATTACTATTTCTATCTTTCCAGCTTCCATACATCCATGGGCTAGCCACTGTGGATACAATATTGAACAACCTAAACACAAACCCTGCCTTCAGGGAATTTATAGTTTAGTGGAAAAGACCAACAATTAAAATCACAAATACATGGGAAAGTAGAGTGTAATGGGAGAGCCAGAGAGAGGAAACACATTCCCTGTGTTTACCAGAAACACAGGGAATCAGGCAGAGGGGTCTTCCAGAAGAAGGAGTATCTAAATTGAGACCTCCAATGTATAAGCAGACATAAGTCAAGGGAAAGAGGCTTGATTGGTAGAGGTGAGGGCTCAGGCAGATTGATCAGCCTGAGCAAAGGCCTGGAGGCCAAAAGAGAATGGGGATATATGCCAGAAATTGCAAGAAGCTCAATAAGTGTAGGTCAGAGCCTATGCTGTGTGTTAGGGGAGGTGAGTAGTGAGAGAGAAGGCTGGAGAAGTTAGGGAAAGTGGGGTGTCTAATCACAAAAGACTTTGTAACTCATATTGAGAAACTTGGGCTTTATCTTAAGGATCCAGAGTAGCCTTTAAAAGATCTTAAATAGGAGAGTGACAGATTTGCATTTTATAGAAAGATCCCTCTGGCTGCAGTGTAGAGAATACATTAGATGCAGTGTGGGAAGCAAATTTGGGTGGGAAAGGAGGGAAATAATACAGCAGAGAGGGGATAATGAGATGTTTTAAACTAATTGATTTTGAGGCATCTATGGGACATCCAAATGGAGATGTCCAGTGGTTAGTGAGAGAGCTGGGCCTGGAGCATGAGAGAAAGATCTGAACTGGGGATTTAGCTTTGGAAGTCACCAGCAGAGAAATGGTTACTGGAATTACTGGGGAGGAAGGCATTGCCTTGGTTAGGTGGGATAGGGGTTGGGGACATGAAGACTACAGTGAGAAGTAGAGACCAAGAACAACCTAACACTGAAGACACCTAACACTGAAAGAACAGCAGAAGAGTCCTGGGCGAGTATGGGGAGACGTGCAGCAGTAAAGTAGGAGAGGGAGTGTAATCATTTGAAGGTTTCAGTGTTCCTTGGGAGTTCCTGCTGGCAGACGGTGTCAGTAATCAACTTGAAGTTCTACTAGTATTACTTCAAGACCCACCATTAGTTTTCCATTTATCAAAGAGGACCCCAACCTACAGTGTAAACTTGACAAGGTATATTATGCAACACAGTGAAGAATAGTTACAAATGCTTTCTTGAGTCTCCTTCCATGCCATAAAATAAACATGCTGCATCTTCTCCAATGCAGAGAGGGTGGGGAGCCCTCCTTGAGAGAGGAAGGATGGTTGCCAGGAAAAACATTAGGCTGTTTTGGCCTCTACCTAATTAGGCATTTCCCTCTTCAGATTAGAGTTACACACACTTGTGTTAAGGGTTTAATATTATGTCAAATCGTTCCCTTGATATACAGTTATAAAAATGTGACTCCATAGACTAAATTTCCATAACTCTCTGTTCTTTTGTAGAGTTTTGCTACTTCCTTTCAGAAGATATTTACAAATACAAATGTGATGTTTACAAATCAGAAATCATTGATGAACTCAGCACTACGTCATAAACCAGGTCTTCCTCAACAGTCTCAAAAGATGCACTGAGAAAAGAGAAAAATAACCCAAACTTCTATGCTGAGAAGTCTTGAAGGGTCTTGTGGCCTAACAAGCCAGAGTTTAAACCCAGTGCCACCATTCATTAGCAGTGTGACTTTGGATATATTCCTTAATTTCAGAATCTCAATTTCCTTATCTTAAAATGGGGATAACAATACCTATCTTGTAGGCTACTGAGGCATTAGAAAAAACATTTATTGAGCTATCATCAGATATTAGAGATAGCTCAAAGTACTTTCCATAGATTAATGCATTTAATCTACCAGATGCCTATTACCGAGGCACAGAGAGGTTAGATAACTTATGTAAGGTCATATTGCCAGTAAAAGATAGAGCAAGGATTTGAACTCACAAGAACAGAGAACTTGTTCTTAAACATTATGCTACACTGTTTCTCTAAATATATGTAAACCATCTAATACTAGTGTCTGATACATAACAGGCACTGTACTTGATAAATGGTATTAATACAAGTAAACAGAGCTTTTTATCTTTATGGGAAAAGAAAGACAAGTTCCATGGTGCACTGGCATACAACTCTGATTCAGATTAGTATCTAAAAATACTTGAGCTTAAAAAAGATTCTTTTACTATGTATGAGAAGAAATACCTTGGCTTGCAATAATTCTAGCAATGGACAAAAGCAGAGGGAAGTACAAAATATAGATTTCTCCTGCAACAAACTATAATGTGGAACTATTCCTCTATTTTAAAAGCATTTCTTTCAATTGTCTCTGGAGAAGGAGGCTAACAGCTGAAGCAACATTATGGGCATTGACTGGAGGTGCACAAGATGCTGATGCTACTGTCCAGTGAAGGATGTTTCCTCCAAAAGTCCTGGCCATCAAAGCAAACCCAATAGCCATTACAGCCAGGTAAAAGCCATTAGTACTCATCTAGTAGGTCCTTCTACAAAAAAGTAATGCACTGTGTTCATAAGGCAAACATTCAGGGATAGACTTCAAATGGAGTGGGGCCTACATGGTACTGGACAAACCCCCTCCCCTACAACCCAAAATGACTCTTATACTAAAGAATCCGTGTAGTCTCTAGGCCAAAATTCTATCACATAGCACTTAACAGCTTCGAAGTATTCATAATACCAACATTAAATATTCAAAAAATGCAGGAATGGATGGATGGATAGGTAGAGGAAGAAAGAAAAGAATGAATGAATGAACATATACACACCCATGAGATTTTACCAACTATCTTCTCTGCGGGGATTAGTTGATAAAGAAAAAAAAAGTAAGGTCCTTTGTACCTTAACATGGGATGGCCAAAAGAAAGTTGAACTCTGGGAAGACAGGTTAGAAAAAGCCAAAGAGAAAACCAAGGGGCGGCATTTGTGATGTTATCAAGGATTAAATGATTAAATGAAACAATAAGCTCACTTCAGCCGGCTTATATCAACTTCAAAACGTAACAAGAGTGGAGTATTCTATTCTCTATCATTACATAGGCTTAAATTTGCAAAGTTAATCCTCGGGAGGAGGTTCCCTTCTTCCCAAGTTTCCTCCTAGAATTCAGATAGTACCAAAAGGTAAATGGCAGCATCTGAATACAGGTTTGTAGGATAACTAAGTCAGACTCAAAGATACACACCTCAACCTTTTTACATTTCTTTGAGTTGACAGCAATCATTAACAACATTTGACAACAGTATTGGAAACTATCTTTGGGGCCAGATTCTGCTTGCCTAAGAATACTGTTAATTTTAGAAAAGATAATCTCTCTGAGACTTCTTTATAAAAGTTTTTTGGTCTGTAAAATAAGGATAATAGCCACTATTTAAAAAAAGTGAAAATTAAATGAGGCGATAAAGAGCTTGGCACATGGTGGGCATTCAATCTATCCCCGGTTGCTGAAGCCCTGGTGGGTAATGATTACTACCTCATAAGCACAAAAAGCTCCTCTCCTGAAGCAAAGGGTGGGCTGGTGCAGTATCAAGATCCTTTGCAATACTAGATCTTATTTGGGCTTTCTTAGAAGCTACTTGACACAAAAACTTTATGCTGCCTATATATTTCCCAATATTTACAAATTATTCACCACTGTTTATGTAAATCTGGGCACAGTGAGTTGATTCTTTATTCTGAATCTATTTCTTAGAAAAATCTTCCAACCATATGCATAACACTTGTTCTGAGGCACAGGAAGGCTGGTCTCAGGCAATTCAGAAATATATTTATCTCCACCTAATAGAAGCTGCTTATAACAATATAAATTTGCCTTCTCAGCAATGCTTTTTCTCTCTGCCTAAACTCCTCCTTCTTTCCACACGAAAAACCTTCTGCTCCATCTGGCTTTTCTCCTGTGCCCAGAGACACTTGTGTCCCCAACACAAGAGAAATTTGCACTGCCAGGAATATGTATAGGCAAGAAAACACATAACTCACTCTGCGAAGACCAAACCTGTAGTTGTCTTTTATTCCATACCACTTAACTTCTTCATAGTGCTTAACTTCTTCACAGGCTAATTTCCAAACTTCTGAAGCTAGGGTGTATATAAAGACTATTTGTACAGTATTCTCCCTTTCTTTATCTATTATATTGAACAAATTAAGGTAAGAACTTTTAAACCACTATTATATAGATATTTTCCAGAAACACTCTTGATTGCTTGATACTAAAGTATGTAGGATTTCTTCTCTGAAGATTAATGACCGTATTTTATATGATCAAAGGGAAGGAAATGGCATTAAAAAGGCAGGGTCTTAGAAACTCAAGTTATTTGTCACCTGGGAGTCAGATAATAAAACAATGCAAATGTTGTATTTAATGTGGCTAGTCTTTCCATAAGCGGTGGCTCACGCTTGTAATCCCAGCACTTTGGGAGGCCGAGGCGGGCAGATCACGAGGTCAGGAGATCGAGATCACGGTGAAACCCCGTCTCTAATAAAAATACAAAAAATTAGCCGGGCGTGGTGGCGGGGCCTGTAGTCCCAGCTACTCGGAGAGGCTGCGGTAGGAGAATGGCGTGAACCCGGGAGGCGGAGCTTGCAGTGAGCCACGATTGCGCCACTGCACTCCAGCCTGGGCGACAGAGCGAGACTCCGTCTCAATTAAAAAAAAAAAAAAAGTATAACCTATTTGGCATGTAGCAGGCACATGTAATTACTTTCAGCCATTCATAGATGTTGGCTTCCACTAAAATAGTCTCTGAGCGTAGAACAACTTTCCTTCTCATAGTCTTAGCACCAAGAACCAAGACCTGTTTACGCATCTGTTTCTACCGTATAGGATTCTTGGCAAAGGGGTTCTACCCTAAGAAGGGCTTCAAGCACAGGGGGTCCCACTGTTCAATGGAAACCAGGGTTGCTGCTACACAGGTGCTGCACCAAGCAGTTTATTTCAGTATTTTGTTTCAGCTCACTTCTGACTTGGAAAACATTGGTGGTCTTAGAACAACAGAATGTTGCCATTAGAAACCTAGCTCAAGGCCTATTTTACAAATTCAAATAAACACTAAAGGCCAAGACTTATTTAGTCTCATACCCATTTAATATTGAAACTCAGCTTGAAACATACCACTTAAGTTTTGTGAGTATAATTTAATGTGGTTTATTTTAAAGAGAATTAGAGTGAAGTACTTAAAAATGGTGTTGGTGATACTGTGTTGTAAGTAGCGTGTTGGGTGAGAGTAGTTCATACATTAGCTATTATACAAATGAACAACTACATTCCTTTTGCCACATCTTCACAAACTGGGAATTAGGGCATGAATATCTTTGTGGGCCATTATTCTGCTTACTATAAGAAAAAGCTGCAAGATAAGCATTTTTTTCATACCCACCTTATCCCCCCCAAAATTAATGTAATTTAAATATGTTTTTATAATAAGCATTACATACAGGGAAAGTATATGGTGAAAAATGAAGCCCAAATAAACTTTTTTATACTGATTCGAACCCTCATGACATGACAATTATTTCAACAGTCCAGTGATATAATATGAAATCCAACCCTTGTTTTGGTGCATACTCCAACTTCAATCATCATTCTGTTGGCGCCGTTTCCCTTCCCTAAAACAAACAGGTGTTTTCAATTCTAAGTTTATAATTAATAAGAACAAATATTTCAAATGTTTCATAATAGCTCTTGTTAAAGAGATACTCACCTTTATTTTCCTACTTCAAAACATTTTGAGGTCTAAAGATAGTTTAGCATTTATAAAAATATTATGGTTGTAAGGGTGTTTATTTAGGCATACCAGGATTTAAAATATTGCTATTCAAAAAGTTTCTAATCCAAAAGAACGAAAAACCCACTATCGTAGCATAGGGACAGCTAGACACCATGAATGGTCTGGAGTTACAATAGATCTTATGTGACTAACTACATTTTCTAAACCAAAAATGAGGCACATACTCTAAATGAGGGAGTTTTTGGACTTTCATTTCATCTGTATAAAAAGTCTTTAAAAACACAAGTGGAAAAATTATTGTACCTGTATATAATACATAAATGTACCTTTTTAATGTACAAAAATAGAAACAAAACAAAAAAACCTCTCCTGGAAACTGAGGGTCAATTTATAACCAGCAGCTGAGTGCTATACCTTACAGCAAGCAACATGGCAGCCTGAGACATTTTCTAGCCATTAACAACTAAAGTGAGTGAAAGGAAGACCTGTAGAGACACAAGGGTCAACCTTGTCAAAACAAAGTTTCTACATTTTTTAATGTGCCAAGACAAAAAGGGATCTGCAAGCCACATTCACTCATACTCCAAAATAGGCTTCATTTTTGTATTCTTATAAAACTTTCCCAAAGGAGGTATCAAACTTTTTATGCAGCAACCAAGTATGTATACCTTCATATTCATACATTACAAACTAGTAAATATTTACCTAATGTTTTATACTGTTTTAAATAACCACATCTTTGAACTCCCTTAATGTATGAGTATTTCTATCTAATCCTATTCTGTAGAGAATTCTAAACTAAAGGAAGTTTAATAGCTCCTTTTCATAAAGTGAAAAGAGAGCACAGGATTTTAGATTGTTTTTTCCTGACCAGAAATTAAAAGGGACACTTCATGAAAAATGACAAGTGACCCCAAACAGATTATGTTCCAAAAGTTTACTTGGAAGCTGAAACATGTTTTTCCCATAGGAAATTATCAGATGCCAAACTAGTGTATAAACATCTAATTAATCAATAATAAAAAATGGATAAAAATAGCAGAAAATTCACTACAATTCTCAAACAAAATATAACAAAAGAAATACTAATATGAATATTAAATACTGGTACTTCAGGAAATAATTTTTAATCTAATTTCTCTAATTAAACTTATGTCTAAAGCTGGGCGCGGTGGCTCACGCCTGTAATCCCAGAACTTTGGGAGGCCAAGGCAGGCGGATCACCTGAGGTCGGGAGTTCGAGACCAGCCTGATCAACATGGAGAAACCCTGTCTCTACTAAAAATACAAAAAAATTAGCTGGGTGTGGTGGTGAATGGCTGTAATCCTAGCTACTCAGGAGGCTGAAGCAGGAGAATCACTTGAACCCAGAAGGCGGAGATTGCAGTGAGCTGAGATTGCACCATTGCACTCCAGCCTGAGCAACAAGAGCGAAACTCCGTCTTAAAAAAAAAAAAAAAAAAAACTTTAAACTCCCAAAAGACATTCTGGCCACTGTTTTAGAGTTTCTGGAATCTGATAACACTGATTCGTGAATTTCCTTTGCTTTAGGCATGTTGTTTAACACCATTCACCTTTATTAATTAGTATTAAATGACAATGTTAAGAACACTTAGCCTAGCTCTGGCACAAAGTAAGCTCCATAAAAATTATGTGAGCAGAAATTATCTGAGGCTCACGGTAACTGGGTGGCAATTTGAGAAGAAGGCAACGAAAGTTAAGGGAGAATGTGTGCACATAAATGCAAAAAAGAATGACCTGAGAAAGTATCAACTCAGGTGTTTTTCCAACCCTCCAGTCTAGAAAAACCTGGGTTTGAGGTCCCTGGAAGGCAGAATTTGGCAAAAAAGTCAAAAGGTTACCCTTTGATTATGGTCCCGAAGCAAAGGGTAATCTTGTGAAGCAAGTGACGCTCCAGAAAACAGATGGAGGGCAAGAACTGAATACAAAGCATTTAGGTAGATGGAGCCAACCCGTTCTGGAAGAAAAAGCTGAAGTGTTTTCCTGAGGAAACGGCATGGAGATGAGGGCTATGCAGGCAGCCTTTTGAAGTGCATCTGTGGCTAAGTCTGTGGACCAGGTTGTTAAAATCACTGAATCAGTTTGACAGTTATGAAGATAAGGAAGAAATGAGCAGAGAATGGCACGTGTTGAACCTTGCTGAAGAAATAAAGGGAAGAATCATCATTGGAGTAATATAGTAGTTTGAAAATCTGAATAAACATTAGGATTTCTTCGGCATACCTTTAAAATGCAGAGTCCTAGGCCTGTCCCCATCCTTAAAGATTCTGATTGCATGGGTATGAATGATTATAATGTTCAGCCAGATTTGGGAAACACCAGATGAAAATTCAGTTCAATTATTAACCTCTGAAGTACAACTTAACTATAGGATATTGTCAATTTATATTATCTTAAAAAGTAACATCCTGATGCTGCTGGTTTAGAAAAGCCACATACATAAATCGCGTAACCACATATTTTCTGTACAATAAATATGTAAGTGTCTGAAAATATTTTTAAAACCACAAATCCAAAGTGACAGTTTTTTCAAATATGTAAAGAGCTTAAAAAAATAGATAACTGTGCTTTCAAGTTTTAAAATTTGAAATTTAGAAATTATGTCTGATATTGACACTATAAAGAAAACAAGATGCTGTATTTTTGTTTTATTTCAGAAAGTTCAAGTCTTTCCATCATAATTGAAGGAATTGCATGATCAATTAAATATTATCAGCATTATTTTCCATTAATGTTTTTAAATGCATTCACACACCTGAGTGTTTGGAATTATATAAACATATCCATTAGAGTCTAGTCTCATCAACATTTATATTATGCTTTTTCAACAGAATTGGAGATGAATCACTAGATAAATAGGTTACAAGATTATTTGGATTTTATGATGAATTGGTTTGCCGAACTTTAGAATTCATAGCAAGAATTAAATCTTTGAATTTGATTTTTAACAAAAGAAAATTGTGCATTGTGCTAATCTACTTTTGCATATTACATAGAAAATGGCTATTAAGGCTTTATTGTAAGGGATTACAGTAAAAGATATTCTATTGTGCACCATGCAAGATGCAGAAAATAATGGTTTACAAATAATGTTAAGCAACCAAGGCAATAATGGTTTTCCTTTCATTCTGGTTTTCCCAAATTAAATTTTTTTTTTTTCAGATTAAAATCAGGTTTGGAGTTAACAGAAAATTGCATTCCTAACTTAAAAACTTCAACTTCTCTAGATTCCTTTAGAAAAGGAATAAATATAGTTTAAAAAAATGTTGCTTTGGGTAGAAGTCTTGATTCATTGCTTCATTCTTACAGCTTTTTCTTTGCTTCCTTACTATAAAATAATCCAATGTTATTGTGAGGACAATCTCTGATTCAGTTCCAATGCTCTTGTATCTCCATGAGTTTTGGCATTGTTTACCAGCACCTATGGGAAATCACATACAGGAACGTCAGTATTTTGTTTATTAACAATATCTATATTTTGATTCATTGAAGCCAAGTAATCCAAGGGCGGCAGTCTTGAAAAGGCAACATCAAACTATACTAGGAAAAGTGACTCTGTGCAATCTTTCAGTCACTTTTGCAGATATAAATTGTTTAAACGAAGCTAACATCAGAGAGATGCACAATTCATTCAAATTAGTATAGATGCCAACATTCTGATTGCTTTTTTTTTTTTTTTTTTTGGACGGAATCTCTCTCTGTCACCCAGGCTGGAGTGTAATCGTCTGATCTTGGTGGCTCACTGCAACCTCCACCTCCTGGGTTTGAGAGATTCTCCCACCTCAGCCTTCCAAGCAGCTGGGATTACAGGCGCCCACCACCACACCTGGCTAATTTTTGTATTTTTAGTAGAGATGGGGTTTCACCATGTTGGCCAGAGGCTGGTCTCAAACTTCTGACCTCAAGTAATCTGCTGGCCTTGGTCTCCCAAAGTGCTGGGATTACAGGCGTGAGGCACTGCGCCCAGCCTGATTGCTATCGTTATTAGCACTGCATAAAATTAAAGGTTTTGTTTGTTGGCTTTGTTAATAATACTGTCACCTCTAAACTCTTACTCAAAAAGACTACTTTATGCATAGAACTGTTCAAATGAAATTGTTCCTCTTTGAAACCACAGCTCAGGATCTAGGCTATAGGTTCTAGGCTTTATCAATAACTTTTCCATGATTTTACCTATTTCACAAACTAGAAGATTCAATTTCAGCTGATCCTTCATACTAAAACATTTTTTGGTTGTTCATTGTCAAGCACTGTGAAGGGTCTGAGATTCTGCTCTATTTGGAAGCTAACAAGTTAGCCTGCCACAGTTCCATAGATACTGCCAGAAGATACAGGATTTTTAGGTCACAGAGAAAAGTCTTCATTATTCAAGGTACGGCAAACAGCATGAACATCAACATATTTGCCTCTGTTCTTCTTGTCCTCTCAGTCTGTGACGTGGATGGACTGATATAGTTTCCCACATATGCAGTCGGTTGCATTACAAGAAGGGAACCCTAAGCCTAGGATGCTTAATCTTTTATAATGGACAGGAATATCTACCCTTTGTTCTGGAGGGAGATACTATCTCTGTCTTCCAAGGATGTTCACTATACGAATATCTTTGAAAAGATAGACTAGAACAAAGAGTAATCAGGCCTCCTGCTCACAGGATATTTAGAAATGCAAGAGATCCACGGCGAACTGTCTCCCAACATTCATATATGTTCCACCTTTTTGATTTGGAATATGTTGATTACAATGCCTTTCTCCAAGCATTCTTTTCTTTACTATTTCTTTCAGCTTTTACGTTTCACCAAAAGGCAAACAGTATTTCAAAATGCTGTAGGTACTGAAAAAGCTTTTCAGTGATTTTCATTGTGTTTTTAAAATTGTTGGCTAAAGCTATGAAAATTTTAACCCAATACATTTGTATATTCTCTACATTATTCAAAATAATTTTGGATACATATATATTTATATATTTAGATGCCAGAGCCATAGCATGAGAAGTAGAGTAGAAACTGTCACATGTATTTTATAGTAAAGGCAAGAATAAGGCAAACAATTTTTTTAAAGATAATACGAACATTCCATTAGGATTCTGTTACCTCTAACTCCATCCTATCTGCCTATTTGCCTCCACTGCAATGGCTGCAAAAATACAACTAACACCTAGCAGACCAAGGATACTGCCAAATATCCAACATTGCATAGGACAGTACCCACCCTCAACCCACACCTAAGAAAAAATTGTGCATTCCACAATCTCAGTAGGTTGAGTTGAGATCTCTGAAGATGAGAAACTCTGGGTTAAAAAGACTATAAGGGGTATATCATATCCTGGTTTCAGGAAAAGAGAAATATAGGCAGGCAAAAATAGTATAATCATTGTGATGTTAATACAAGACCAGTGACAATTCATGCATGGACATTCTCTCCTTTGGTTTACCAGCTGGCCATTTTTACTTAGCCTTGCTTCTTGCTTAAATACAGTTAAAACCTTCAACTTCTTTAGAGTCCTTTCTTTAAAAAAGAAAAGGAATGAATAAGTATAGTTTTAAACAAATGTCGCTTTGGGAAAAACTCTTGATTCATTGCTTCATTCTTACGGCTTTTTCTTTGCTTCCTTACTATAAAATAATCCAATGTTTATAAAAAACTGGACAAAATATTTTATCCATCAATTTATAAAGAAATAACAACGGTAAATAAATAATATGAAAGAAAGTATAGTTAAGTCATTCCCTTCTGGCCAAAAAAGGGAAAGAAAATGTTGATTTTTGATACTGCTTTAGGTTGGGTTTAGATGGTCATATATTTGTATTGTTATAAACTTCACTAGGTAAGGGCTTTAGATCAGCAGTTCGCAACTCTTTACAAACCTCAGTACATTTAATGGATGACTTTTAAACTTGTGATGTTCTCATTGGTTCAAAGATAAAGTCCTGCAATTAGACAAGCTCCTTAAAATTCTACCCTTCTCTTTCACTTAAAAAAGCTTATAGGAACGCATTAATAGAGAGATATATAAAAATATCCATGAATCTATTATATTTTATTACTGAAAATAAAAAAGTAAAACCATTTGTCACCTCTGGTTAGTATCTAATTACTTACAACATGCTTCACAACTGATCACGACCCCAAGGTTGTTGGTACTCAAAAAGTGTCAGATTTTGGAGCATTTCAGACTTTGGATTTTTAGATTAGGGATGCTCAACCTGTATAGTTTCCCCATATAAAGGCATCTTGTACATATACAGGTTAAATCAACATTAAACTTTTTTTAAATACAGGTTTTAACAGTTCTGTTATTTATGCCAAAGAGCCCCAGCTTTTGATGTTCTAATATCGAAAGGAGAATGTCATAACTAACCCATGGTAAGATACAAACTGTATATTTAACCTTTAAACCATATGCATAAATATTTCTCATTTTCAACAGATGTAACAGTAGACATTGTAGTCTTTTATTAGCCAAAAAATTACACACTCAGTTTTTAAAAATTCAATCATAAAAGTGAAGTAACTTTGAACAATAACTCTAAAACCCTTAGATCAAAGATAAAACATTTTAAATAAAATCAATGCCTCAAACATTTTAAATAAAATCAATGCCTTACGTCAATAAGCTCATAGTCATCTTTGGCATATAAGTGTCTCAGTAGGTACCAACGTGCAGTTGATGCAATAGATTTGGGATACCCAGGCTGATATACCACTCTTTCCAAAAGACGCCGTGTCTCTCTGGAAAAAAAAAATTTACATTTAGTCCAAAGCATGCAAATTACCATAAGATATTTCCTATACTAATCTCACACACACATTATCTTTCTCATATTTTTGCAGATGTAGTGTCTGATTATGATTTTTTAATTCAGATAACAATAAAGGTAATAATGGTTAATATCTATTGAGTGTTTATCATGCACTAGGTACCATGCTAAATGTTTATACATATGGCTGTATTTAATGTTCAAAATCTTATTAGGTAGGTAGTTATTATTCCTATATGGCAGAGAAGTAAATTATTCCAAGTTATCCTCATTCCAAAGAGAACAGAGAGACAGTCGCTATTTTATAATCTACTTTGAGTGCTCTACCTCCAATCTTTTTGAAAAGTAGGCAGAAACTAAATAAGTCACTAAATAATGCAAGGGTGATAAAGAGTGGAACAAGAAATATTCAATGTCTACATTACAGGCTATGTATATCATATCAGGCTTTTAGCATATGTTTTCAAGGACGTGTATGATAATGTAAACCCATGTAATAACAGGCTGATTTACAGCTGTGTTCTAATTTTTTCTTTCCTAATTTACTAACATCTATGACTCCAAAACTTCTGTACTGCTAAAAACAACATAAACCATTAGTATATTCAGAACTGCTAAACAGAAAGATCTTCTAAGTAGCAATTAGTTTGAAGCAGGAACTAAATAACTTGTCTTGAAGATGCTTTTGCAGAGGGATCACGTAGTAAGCACGTTGTTATTTTTCTTAGACTGCATTTTTATTTGGGCTAGGTTTTGAAGGCGATAAAAATTATGGGAGGTGTTAACAAAGATTATTGGGGTAGGGGGTGAAGGGGAGATAGTACTCTCTAAGTTACCAACACTGAGCATGAGCAGAAGTAGTTCATTAGGAAGTTTAAATTATAGCCTAAAACATTTCTTAGTGAAATTAGTCACACATAAAAATGGCCCCAAATAAATAAATGTTAATAAATAGTGCTGGAGTTGCTAATCAGCCATATGGTCTTAATCTTCCACCATCCCTATTTTGTGATGTGTCTTTTGCTACATATTTATATGTACTAACCTCCATTTCTACCATACCTATTCTGTTCCAGTGATGTTTGCTCCTCAATCACTGCTTTACTTACAGATGCTTTGTATTATATGTAGTATATATTAGAACTAGATATTTTCAAAATATTAAAGTATTCTTGCCTGTATTTTTTACCCATATGATCTTTAAGTAATTTTCTTCAAATTTAAGTACACTTCTTTCAACATAAACATTGCTATAGAATTTTTGTATTTTAATCAGAGCAGCTTTTGGATTTTCTAGATAGGAAACCACATCATTTATAAACAACATATCTCTGCCTTTTCAATATTTATTACTTTTTTCATAGCTTATAACAATAGCAAGAACTGATAATGTAGCCTTGTGTTGGGGTCTTTTGGTTTTGTTTGTTTCTAGAACCCACATCACACTGTTGGTGCCTCCTAACACAGTGAAGAACAAAAACTCCAAGACCTTCTTCACTGGAAATGCTATCATGCCAAACCCCTCATGCCCTATAAATATGTATCAAATTGCCTTTTTAAACAAATATAAGGCTTTGTTTCTCCCTTACTGGATTTCTGGAACCAGTTCTTCCAAAGTAGATACAGATATATAAATACCCCCCAAAGTTTGTTAAATTGGTCTGTTACAAACTTTAAAGTTTATAATCTTTCCTTGATTATTTCCTAGAAAGATTTAAAGTGAAGAAGCATTTATAAGAAAAAGATGAAGATTCTTCATACCTTGCCCCCATTTTGCGTTTGAATTGTAACAAAGCTTGTAAAAGAACAGCCAGTGGACAAAAGCAAAGCTTCAAGGCCTCAGTTGTAGCCTCTTGAACCAAAGATGGCCAGTGATCATTGGAAATGTTAGCCTATAAAAATATAAGACAAATATTAACTCAAAGATTTGGCATATTTATTTGAAAAGTATTCAATTCAATTCTTTTTTTTTTTTTGAGACGGAGTCTCGCTCTGTCACCCAGCCTGGAGTGCAGTGGCGCGATCTCGGCTCACTTGCAAGCTCTGCCTCCCAGGTTCCCGCCATTCTCCTGCCTCAGCCTCCGGAGTAGCTGGGACTACAGGCGCCCGCCACCACACCCGGCTAATTTTTTTGTATTTTTAGTAGAGATGGGGTTTCACCATGTTAGCCAGGATGGTCTCGATCTCCTGACCTCGTGATCCGCCCACCTCGGCCTCCCAAAGTGCTGGGATTACAGGCGTGAGCCACCGCGCCCGGCCAACAATTCAATTCTTATTGAGTACCTATTTGAGCCCGTCACCATATAAATAATACAAAGAGTATAATTACTACAAAGAGATTTAAGATCTGATCCCTGCTCTAAAGGAGCTATAAAATGGGGTAGACTGGGATAAAGGAGGTTTTCAAAGAGGAGATATTTAAAAAACACTAAAATATTTGTTTAAAGAAAATGCACTATTATACTACATAGGTGAATAAAATCTATCAGTCTTGTGTCTACCAAATATACAAAACTCAATTTAACATAATTGATTCTTTAACTGGTAGTGATAAATATAGAGTTCTACATTTCAAAAATTATCTAAGGAGAGAGGAAAGGCTGAAATAAAGTATTTTAATAAACTCCCAATATAAAAAAGTACAAAACAGATCAGAGATAAAGGTATTAAATCAAAGTAATCAGTACTAAAAACTTTTTAAAAATTTTACTTTATGGCTAAGATATTAATGTATCTATATATTACTTGGGTTACAAGCTTTATTCTCTCTCATATTAGGTACTGACTCAGAAATAACAAAGGTAAGTATTTCTGAAGAAACAGTAACAAACTAAAGTGATGAACACTTTACTGAATTATGTAAAGAGAAAAAAATGCATTAAAAAGTTTCATTTAAAAAATCTCAAATTTTGACGAAGATTTCATAACCACAAGTATCTAAAATATGTATTTTAATAAAGTCAATATAGTGAGTCAATATATATAGTCTATTTCAAACATTAAATTATATAACAAAAATTAGAGCAATTATCTCTGAGTGCAGTATAGGCAATAGCAATTTGTATAATCAAGTAAGAGGAAGCTATAATGAATGTGAAAATAGACAATAGTGGTTATGATGCATCTTCTATAAATAGTGGCTACTTTGGGTACATCTGACAAAGAAAGTAAGGCAAAGCACATTCTAATACAATTATTCTTAACATCTTACTAAAAACCAGTAACATAAAACTCTCACTGGATGCTTTTAATAATATACTCTCTAAATTCTATGAAATCATATAAAACACTCTGTAAAGTTAGCCCAAAGATGACTTTATAAGGAAAAAGTTACTATATATACCTGGCATATTAAACAAAGTGATCAGAATGCACTTCTGTTTTCTTTTCCCACTACCTGTTCAACATTTATTTGAGAGATACTTTTTCTGTGTCCCTGGATGTAAATTACATTAGGCCCCATGAGTCTTATTCCATTTTTCTTACATTCATCCACAAATACAGTCTCAATTAGAATGTCCTCTTTTTTTTTTCAACACTTCAGTCTTTGCTGAAAAGTAATATTTGCACATACTTCCCTGCCCCGCCCCAATTCCCCTCAGCTCCCAGGCTAGAGTATGGTTACAGGCAGTAGCAGGTGGCTGGTTCCTTTTCCCTAGTACTGCCAACTCCTGTGGCTAATTGTAGCTTCAGGACCCTACTGAAATACTAGAAATTTGCATTTAACTGGTGCCATTGTAAGGTGGTGCCAAGCTCTCCAGGGTTGACAGATATTTAAAGCTCTTTTTCTCAATCTGGCTTTAGCAGAGACTCCCAACTTCATGGGTAGTCTCTCATCTGCAGGCCCAGCAACATAAGCTGTGGGGCCCAGTGCAAAATAAAGTGTAGGGCCCTTTGTTGAAAAATTACGAAGAGTTTCAAGATAGCAACTACAGAACATTAAATCAAGTATGATGCCCTGTGTAACTGCAGAGGCTGCATGCCCATGAAGCCAGCCCTGCTCATCTGCAGTTCCACTAATCTAGCAAATGTATTCTATTCTTCTCACTCTCTCCACATCCTCTAGCAATGTGGAAACTTCAGATTCCTTTCTGCTGACATCCCATCATCCCTCTAGGTGGCCTTAGTGAACAGGATCTAGGATAACTCCTACACCAACCCACTCTCACCACTGGCATTGCTCATTTCTGGATCTAACAAACTCTGAGAGTGTTGCTAATTCTGTCTGCAGCAACTCTCCTTCATTCCTTCCTCCCTATAGCACAAGGAGATACTCCTGCCTACCCTTGGGATTAATCTACTGTTGACCATTCTCTCCCAGAAACATGGGATCACTTTCTAAAACGCTAGCAATTCTCCTCTTCTCTGTCCTAACACCTAAGACTGAGTGCCACCGTCTCTGAAACAGTTAGATACCTGTTTATATGCTTCTAGACACATGCTTCCAGGACCCCGGAGGACACAGATTGAAGCCTCCCTCTCTCTGGTAGGACCCCCTTCCTCAACTTTGTGTGTATCTGTCTGTAGAAGCATGCCAGGGGGAAAATGGGTGAGGCAACAGCCCTCTCCAAAGAAATGTCTTCACAAATCCTTCTCTAACTCCACTCTCCTGATGCCTTTTTTTTTTTTCTAAAGTTTAACTTCAGATACAGAGGATACACGTGCAGGTTTGCTCCATGGGTATATTGCACCCAGTTAGGGAGCATAATACCCAACAGGTAGTTTATCAATCCCTGTCCCACTCCTTCACCCTCAGTGGTCCACAGTGTCTGTTGTTCCCATGTTTATGTTCACGTGTGCTCAATGTTTAGCTCCCACTTACAAGTGAGAACATGCGTATTTGATTTTCTGTCCCTGTGTTAATTCACTTAGAATTATGGCCTTCAGTTCCATCCATGTTGCTGCAAGGGGGACATGATTTCGTTCTTTTTTTTATGGCTGTATAGTATTTCCATGGTGTATATGTACCACATTTTCTTTATCTAATCCACTATATGGCACCGAGGTTGATTCCATGTCTCTGCATTGTGAATAGTGCGGTGATAAACACATGAATGCATGTGTCTTCATGGTATGATGATCTATTTTCCTTTGAGTGTATACTCAGTAATAGGATTGCTGGGTCAAATGGTAGCTTTAAGTTGAGATATCTACAAACTGCTTTCCACAGTGGCTGAACTAATTTACATCTCCACCAACAGTATATAAGCATTTAAGCATTCCCTTTTCTCTGCAGCTTCACCAGCACCTGTTATTTTTGTTGTTATTGTTTGTTTGTTTGAGACAGGGTCTCAAGCTCTGTGGCCCGGGAGAGAGTGAGAAGGCAAGATCTCAGCTCACTGCATCCCAACCTCCCGAGCTCAGGTGATTCTCCCACTTCTGCCTCCTAAGTAGCTGGGACTACAGGTGCATGCCACTACGCCTGGCTAATTTTTTCTATAGAGATGGGATTTTGCCAAGTTGTCCAGGCTGGTCTTGAACTCCTAGGCTCAAGTGATCCACCCGCTTTGGCCTCCCAAAGTGCTGGGATTACAGGCATAAGCCACCACATCCAGCCTGTTATTTTTTGACTTTTTAATAATAGCCATTCTGACTGGTGTGAAATGGTGTTTCAGTGTGGTTTTTATTTGCATTTCTCTGATGATTAATAGGGATGAGCATTTTTTCATATGTTTGTTGGCCACTTATATGTCTTCTTTTGAGAAGTGTTTGTTAATGTCCTTTAACTGTTTGTTAATGGGGTTATGCTTCTTGCTTGCTGATTTACGTTCCTTATTGATTCTGGATATTAGATCTTTGTCAGATGCATAGTTTGTGAATATTTATTTCCCATACTGTAGGTTGTCTGTTTACTCTGTACATAGTTTCTTTTGCTGTGCAGAAGCTCTTTAATTAGGTCCCACTTGTCAATTTTTGTTTTTCTTGCAACTGCTTTTGGAGGCTTAGCCAAAAAATTCTTTGCCAAGGCCGACGTCAAAAAAGGTATTTCCTAGGTTTTCTTTTAGAATTTTAATAGTTTGAGGTCTTGCATTTAAATCTTTAATCCATCTTGAGTTAGTTTGTATATATGCTGAAAGGTAAGGGTCTAATTTCATTCTTCTGCAAATGACTAGCCAGTTGACCCAATGCAATTTATTGAATAGGGGAGTCCTTTCTCCATTGCTTATTTTTGTCAGCCTTGTCAAAGATCAGATGGTTGTAGGTGTACAGCTTTATTTCTGAGTTTTCTATTCTATTCCATTGGTCAATGTGTCTGTTTTTGTAGTAGTACCAATGAATTCCCTCAGTATTTGCTTGCCCTTCACTTATTTAGTTTAGTTTCGTGGGATATGAAATTCTTGGTCAGAATTTCTTTTCATTAAGGATGCTTCAAAACAAGAAAATAAAGAAAAGAAAAAAGGAAAAAAGGATGCTGAAAATAGGTGCCAAACTCTTCTGCTTCTAGCTCGTAACATTTCTGCAGAGGTCTGCTGCTAGCCTGATGGGATTCCTCTGTATGTAATTTGACCCTCCTCTCTAGCTGCCTTTAAGACTTCTTCTTCTTTTGCATTGACCTTGGTAAATCTCATGCTATGTGCCCTGGGGATGATCATCTTGTACAGTACATAGCTGGGGTTTTCTGTATTTCTTGGATTTCTATGTCAACCTCTTTAGCAAATTTAGGAAAATTTTTGTGGACTAATATACATTTTCCAAGTTGCTCATCCTCTCTCAGGAATGCCAATGAGTTGTAGATTTGGTCTCTTTACATAATCCCATATTTCTCAGAGGTTTTGTTCATTTTAAAACATTCGCTTTTCATTATTTTTGTCTGACTGAATTGATTAAAAGAACCACTTTGTGAGCTCTGAGATTCTTTCCTCAGCTTGATGTATTCTTCTTTTAACGCTTCCAATTGTATTATGAAATTCTTGTAGTGAATTTTTCAGCTCTGGAAGTTCAGTTTGGTTCTTTCTTAGGATGACTATTTCACATTTCAGCTCTTGGATTATTTTACCGGATTCCTTGGATTGGGTTACAACTTTCCCCCAAATCTTGACAAGCTTCCTTGCCATCCAGATTCTGAATTCTATGTCTGCCATTTCAGTCACTTCAGATTGGTTAAGAACCATTGCTGGGGAACCAGTAGGCTACATTTGGAGGTACAGGGACACTCTGGCTGCTTGAATTGCCAGAGTTCTTGTGCTGATTCTTTCTCATCTGGGAGGGTTGGTGATATGGCTTGGAGCTGTGTCCCAGCCTAAATCTCACGTTGAACTGTAATCCCCAGTGTTGGAAGTGGGGCCTGGTGGGAGGTGATTGGATCATGCAGGCGGAGTTCTCATGAATGGTTTAGCACCATTCCCCCTTGGTACTATACACTGAGTGAGTTCTCAAGAGATCTGGTTTTCAAAAGTTTGTGGTACATCCCCCCTCTCTCTCTTGCTCCTGCTCTGACCATGTAAGACGTGCCTGCTTCCCCTTTGCCTTCCACCATGATTGTAAGTTTCCTGAGGTCTCCCCAGAAGCAGAAGTCGCTATGCTTACTGTACAGCCTGTGGAACTATGAGCCAATTAAAACTCTTCTGTTTATAAATGACCCTATCTCAGGTATTTCTTTATAGCAATGCAACAGACGAATACAGTTGGTGTTCCTTTAACTGTGGTATAAATTGAGTATAGTCAGTTGGCTTATTTCTGGATGCTTCCAAAGAGCCAGGGCTCTGTACAGGATCTTTATGTGAAGGTGAACTCTTGCACTTGGTTTCACAGGCGTATACATTAGCAAGATAATTTTTGGTGTTGTAGTTTGGGCTGCAATCCAGTAGATAGCTAGTGCATAAGAGTAACGGTGGGTAACTAGGCTAACACTTAGCCACATGGCTCTTCTGTACTTCTTCACATTCACAGGCATGCTCTTCAGTGGTGATGGCGGGGACAGGATAGAAAGGACCACCTCACCAGCTCTGCTCCAGGGCCTTAGGGGAAGCCCCCTCTGATCATTCACTCCATGCCCACATTACTTTTGTTAGGTGATTTGGGTTGCTGGGTCCCCTTGTGCAGGGACTATGACAGGGAGATATGCCAAAACTTTTCTGGACTGGCCCTGCAAAGGGAGGCATGCCCCACTCTTGTCCTTGCCCAGGAACCCATGCATCTCACCCCTCTTAGCTCTTGAGGGTAGGGGCTCCTCCCCAACTCAAGTGCCAGCCACAGATCTCAGCTCTGTACTCCTGAGTTGAATGCCGCAGCCCTGGGGGCACTGGAATGTCCCATGGCTCAAGGCTGAGTTCAGGTTATACTGGAGGATTCTATATGCTACAGCAATCTATCTTGATCTGATATCTCACTTTGGAATCTGATATCTAGTATCTTAGCCAACTTGTCAATTTTACATCCAGATCACATATTATCACATATAATAAAACTTTCAAATAAAGACTTTTATAAATGTCTTATTTTAATATATCCATCCTCCCCATACTGCCAGCTGTTTACCATAGAAATATGGCATACCTTTTATTCCTTTATAATTATTGGATGTCAAATGTTTTTTCAAGAACAAATTGGATTGATAGCACTTTAAGGTTTACAAAGGCATGTGTAAACATTCCTTCATTATTCAAACAATGCCACAAGAAGGTAAAATAGGTATTCTGATCTCCACTACTAAGGGCTTTAAACAGTTTAACTGGCTGAAGGTTTCACAGGTAGTAAATGGCAGAACCAGAACATGGGCTCTTAGAGAAAATACTTCGGTGGTATAGTACAGGTAAAGGTGGGGTGGGGGATTCAGGGGGACAGGTATACATGGGTATTACTGAACTGCAAGCTAATTTCTTCATCTGTCAAATAGGGTTATTGTGATTATTAAATAAGTTAATAAGAGTAAAGCATTTATAATAGAACCTAGCGCAGACTAAGTGCTATAGTTTGCTATTGTTAAAACTATTATTAATTTGTTCTATTCCAGGTCAGATTTAATTTCCCAGCATCAACAAAAATCAATAAATAATACTGAAAAGTAAAAAGTAATAAGTTATGCTAAAAGAGTGTCTACTTCTCCAGTTCACATATTGAAGGGCATGTTATAGGTACTATGTGCAGCTTCTGTGGCTCACCAGTTACCAAGGTCATAAAGACCTTTGTTATATACAAATATGGGGCAAACAAAATAAAATAGTGAACTACAATTAGTTGGCCACATTATTATTATTTGTCCATTCACTCAAAACCATTTATAGAGAACCCCCTATGCACAAGGCAGACTGACAGAGCAAGGAAGCAAAAATGAACAGAAATAGTCCCTGACATAAGAATCTCTTAAATGTGCTCTACAGTAATGGCACCAAAGCAAAAAAAAAGGCCTAATTCTACATTTCATTGTCAAATGCCTAGTTAAAGTGAGTAACTAACATTCTCATGGATTACTATGGTAAAAACAAGAGTTACTTTAGGGCTGTCTAGGATAATTTCTTCTAACCATGTAAAACCAAAAGAATAACAATTTAACTTTTAATTACAAAATAATAAGGAACGACAAAAAAATCCAAACACTATCAAAAGATATAAAATGAAAAATTCTCCTCTACTATCCTTTAAAACCCCCAGTCCCCTTCTCCAAATAACTGCCATTATATTTCTTATATATGTTTCCATATAATTACATCTTCATGCTTTAAGCATATGCACAAACACACATGGTATATTTAGAGATATACATTCTTAAAAATTCATACCACATATATGAACACTCCATTAGAATTATATCATACATCCTGCTCTGCAGTTTGCCCTCACTCCCACTTAAACATGTATCTTGACAAATTTTCCCTACCAGCATGTAAAACTTTCAGATTCATATACGTAAATTGGTATCAGAAAATAGCTTGTTAGGTCATAAGTTACTAGAAATCCCTCTTAGAGAATGTTGAATTGAAATGAGAATGACTGAAATGTTCACTATACACATTTTTGTCACAGTTGAGTAGCTAAATTTAATTCTAATACAATTTGTTTCACCAAGAAACAAAAATGTATATCCTAATATAATTCAACTTTTAAAACTGTAATCTTTTTTCCCCAAACATCGACAATATTCTGCTGTAGTCTATAGATTTATGTTGCTCTATGTCCATCACAAACCCAAAATACAAAGTGTATCAAGAAGCCACACTAGAACACAATGAAACAACAGGACTTCAATTGAATATTACTATGTAAAAAGCCTTCACGTCAAAGAAAGATAAAAAAATCAATTTTTCATGATCATAATTATAACATGATCTTACCATACAGACTTTTAATGCAAGTAGTGCTAGTCTCAACAGACTTGAGAGCTTCCCACTCCAACTGCCCCGTTGGGATGCCAATTGTAGACTCTTTCTGTAACACATCTCTGCAGCTCTCATCATTCCTTGGGATTGATACACATGTGCCAGCCACTAAGAAACAAAAAAGGAGAAGGAGGCAAAGGATTTTAGTTTATTATGCAGTCTGTTACCCCTACTTCCAACAAATTCAATAAACTTTGTCGTAGTAAAAATGTTTTTAGTTATTGGTAAGTTCTGTGCCCAAAAAACAATTACAGGTCAAAAAAGGGCTGTCATATTGCCAATTCTTTTAACAACAGCTGCCTATTAGCAAATTGACCCCGGCAATATATAAAAACAATAATATATAATGATCAACTAGGGCTTATTCTAAGAATGCAAAGTTGGCTTAATATATGAAAATCAATGTAATCTACCACATTAACAGAATAAAGAAAAAGATTAATAGATGCCATTAAAAAAGTTTTAATAAAATTCAAGACCCATTATTTTTTAAGAAAAAACTCTCTTAGCATATTCAAAGTAGAATCTTCTTAATCTGATAAGGATATTTATAAAAACCTATAGCAAACACCATACTTAGTAATGAAATAGTCAATGCTTTCTACCTGAGGTAAGAAGAAGACAAGAATGTTTACTTATCACCACTTTTGACATTGTATTAAAGGTTCCAGACAGTACAATAAAGCAAAACAAACAAATCAACAAAAAACCTTAATATGTAAATATTGGGAAGAAAAAAGTAAAAGGGGCATAACTATATACAAAATCCAAAACCTTTCAAAGAATAAGTGAATTTAGCAAGGTGCTGGAAAGTCAACGTATAAAAATCAACTGAATTTTTAAATGTTTGGAAATGATTTAAACACACACACACAACAGAACAACAACAAAAAATACCAAATACCTAGAAATAAATTTAACACAAAAGTATAAAAGACCTCTAGGTTGAAAATTGCAAAACAATGCTGTGAGAAATTTCAAACTAAATTAAATAGAGGAATATACCACATTTGTGGACAGAAAATATTCAGTAGAGTATTACTTTGTCAATTGTCCCCAAATTAAACTGTAGATTCTAAACAATCTCAATTAAGATCCCAGCAGAGCTTTGTTGGGTGAGAATTAACAATTTACAGTAGACCCTCTCCTTAACTGTGGTTTCAGTTACCTGTGGTACAACACAATAAAATACTCTGAGAGAAAGAGGGAGACCACATTCATATAACTTTTATTATAATATAGTGTTATAACTTTTATTATTATTGTTGTTAATCTCTTATTGTGCCTAATTTATAAATTAAACTTTATCATAGGTATGCATGTATGTATAGGAAAAAACATTGTGTGTGTGTGTGTGTGTGTGTGTGTGTGTGTGTGTGTATAGTTCATTACTATTTGCGGTTTCAGGCATCTACTAAGGGTGTTGGGACATCTCCCCCGCAGATAAGGTAGGACTACTGCATTTGGAAATGCAAAAGACCTAAGACAAACTTGAAGGAGAACAAAAAGTTGGAGGTTTTAATGTTACCACATATTAAGACTAATTATAAAGCTATACTCAAGAATAAAAAACAAAAGATTAAAAAATAGACCAATGGAAAATAAGGAGGCCTGAAGACCCATACATACACAGCTGATTTATGACAAAGGCATCACTGTAATTCAATGGGGACTGAATAGTCTTTTCAAAGATTGGTACTATGTTAATTACGGGTAAAAATAAACCTTAACTCCTGCAATATTCACAAAGATTAATCCAGGATAAATTATAGACCTAAACATGAAAAGTAAAACAATAAAATTTCTAAAACAAAATATTAAAAAAAACTTCATGAACCTAGAGTAAGCAAAAAGTTCTTAAATAGAATATCCCAATAAAGCATTAACCATCATCAGACTTCATCAGAATTAAGAACTATTCATTAAAAAATAACATTAATAAAGGCAGCCATAGGTGTAAGAAAATATTTTCAATAAAAATATCCAAAAATGTGCTCAGATTCAGGAAATATAATAAATTCCAATAATTTAGTAAGTAAAAAATGAAGACTCCATTAAAAATTATGCAAAGCACTTTACACAGAGGATATCCAAAGGCTCAATAAGCATACGAAAAGTTGTTTGATGTCATTAGATATCAGGTAAACACAAGTTAAAATCACTACAATATATTATTACCTACATATTCACCAAAATAGGGGAAAAACATGACAATCTAGCAATATCAGCACCTGGAATGCTCATGCACTGCTGGTGCAAGTGTAAAGTGGTATAACCATTTTAGATAACTCTTTGGCAGGATCTACTAAATTAACCATACATATACCCTATGTCCCACCAAAAAGCATGACCAAGAATGGTCACAGCAGCATTATTCATGCTAGACAAAACCTGGAAACACCCAAATGCCCATCAACAGTAAAATGAATAAATATTATCGTATGTCCATAAAATGAAATGAAAAAAATTATGGTACATGAAACCACCAAATGAATCTCACAGACATCCTGTTGAGTGAAAGTAACCAGATACAAAAGAGTACTACTCCATTGATATGAAGTTCAAAAACAGGAAAAACTAAATAGAGGTCAGAATAGAGGATTTCCTTGTTTTGGGGTGGGGGGAGTCAAGCAAGAAGATCAACTGACAGAGGCCTAGGGGAAGCAGTTGGGTTGCTAGAACTGTTCTGTATCTTGATATGGGAGGTGTTAAACAGGTATGTCATATATAGAGTAGTACTTTTAAGATTTTTACACTTTATTCCTTGTGAATTATATCATAATATAAAAGAAAACACACACATACACACACACATGCAGTCTCTTAAGACTTTACTTATTGATATGGTTTGGCTGTGTCCCCACCCAAATCTCATCTTGAATTCCCATGTGTTATGGGAGGGATCTGGTAGAAGGTAACTGAATCATGAGGGGAGGTCTTTCCTGTGCTGTTCTCATGATAGCGAATAAGTCTCACAAGATCTGATAGTTTTAAAAAGGGGAGTTTCCCTGCACAAGCTCTCTCTCTTGTCTGCCGCCATGTGAGACACGCCTTCCTCCTTCCATCATGATTGTAAGGCCTCCCCAGCCACAGAGAACTGTAAGTCCATTAAACCTCTTTCTTCTGTAAATTGCCCAGTCTCAGGTGTCTTTATCAGCAGTGTGAAAATAGACTAATACACTTATGATATAATTTATCCTTCAATTTTTCCCTTTTAGTTTGACAATGTATTTCTCCCTTTGATAATGAATATGAAATCAACAACATCTAGTTGTTGATTAAGTATCTAAGGTCAGCTAGATGTTCTGAGGTCAACTAGATGTTGATCTTAAATCCTAAATCTCATACAGAAAACTTACTCTAAGAAAGGGGAAAAAAGAATTACAGTAAAAGGGAGGCTTAGTTTTCATAATCCAGTAATTTTATGCCAGATAATTTTTTCAAATTATCTAAAGCAGGGATATAAAAAAGCTGATATAATAAAAGATCAGAATAAAAAACAAATTATAGTAAGATAATAAGCGTCTATAAATCTATATCAAAAAGCCCTTTTGATACTTTCTCTGGGGCACAGAGGAAATATAATAAATTGTATAAAATAATTATGTGCTTCCTTGTATTTTAATATCAATAAGAACAAAGCACACAGTGATCATTGTGCATTTGTCACTGTGGATAACCAGAGCCACCTGAAAGAGCAGATGATCTGTTGATTCAAGCATCAATCCTGAAAATAATTATTTCTAAAAGCACTAAATACAGGTTATCTGTAAAGTAGCTAGGGAGAAACTATACATATCTCCTGTAAAAGCAGAGTTAAACACCATTATGATACCCTTATTATAAAATGTCTATAACATATCAACCCATATAAAAGACAGTATTTTCATCACCGTTTTAAAGTGAGAAAATTTAGAATCAATAACTTAAAAAGCTTTAAATCATCATTGTAGCAGATCCAAAACTAGTGTTAAACTTCCTTAGTTCCTCTAACCACAATACCTTTTAGATCTTGAAACTGAGAGATAACATGGTGAGAGTGACAGCAAGCCAAATAAAAATGGAGCATAGCCCTGACATTAACTAATATTATGAAGTGTTTTAATTGAGGACTCAAGTAAGAAAGGAGAAAACTTACCTGCCAAGCTGGAACAGAGGTTGAGTTGGACATGACTGTTTTTTGTAGTTCTTCAAGTACAGCATCTGGGAGTGGCTTTTGTGACTCCAGGAGTGGTTTACACTGAACTTGTCTCAAAAGTAAGATAACGGCTGGCTGATCAGGGTTACTTTTTAAATTCTAGAAATCAAATCCCAAAGAGGAACACATCAAATAGGTTCTTAAGTGTTAAAAGTAAAAAGCATTATTCTCCAAGTTGGGAAAATAAAATTCTGAAGGTTTATACCTTTTCTTATTAAAGAGAAAACAACTGCAAATAATTAAATAAACAAAACAATGAACAGCCTGTAAATATCAAACTTTACATTAAAATAACCTTTAAAATCAGTAATGCTATTACTGTAGTCTACATGTATTTCCCTTTGACTTAGTTTACTCTTAAGTGATATCCTGAAAAATTTAGGTTCTAAATGTAAGTAAATAGTTGAACTAAGAAAATATAAATATAAAATTAAGTGGGAATGCTATCACTATTCCATACTGGAATAAACTATACTATGTAAGAAGAAAAGAGGCATACATTTTTTTCTTTCTTAACCTCTTAACAAAGGTATTCACTCTACATGTCTTTCTTCTAGGCACAGCCTTTTCAAGTACTGCGAGTAAGAAAAATGACCTATTTTCCCCATTTCCTTAAGCTACTGTTTCTATCTTAAAATACTTACCTACATACATACATAAATGTATTGTATATACTTATATTCTCTGTATGTGTATATATTTTTATATATATGAAGAATTTCTGTAAACAAGTCCTCCCACTATTGTTTCAAATATTTCTTTATTGCTTGTCCCTCAATAGCATACTTTTCTATTTTTTACTCATTAGATCTTAAATGTATTTCTAAAATTTATTTGATTGCTTTCTTCTAAGTAAGAGATTGCAACAACAAACCGACAAGGAAAGGTTCATTAGGCATCACTTATTCTATCAGAGGGCACATAGCAACTGTCAATTTATGCTTAGTAAACACTTACTGTGTAATACCCTGTCCTGAACTTAGATGGAATTCCTTAAATAAAAGAAAAAATGTATCACTCTGCTTTTCATAGAATTTAAGAACCAAAGAAATCTTCAAAAGTCCATTCTTCTTTCTCTGTAAAATGTATACTGATCTTTCCAAAAAAATTACACAACCTCCATGGTAAGCAATTATGAAATACGATGTTTTCAGGAAAAGTCACGTTCAAAACTCTCTTTAACCATTACATTATTTCTAAGTGAGCTTTGGAAACTAATTCATTCTTTCAGTAAATATTTATTGAGCCCCTACTATGTTCTAGGCAAGGTAATACACATTTATTCACAGAGCCTGCAAGCATAGAGCCCTCCAATCCTGGCATGTAAAAACAGACTACTGAGTAGATTCCAGTCACCCACTCAACAATCTCCACAGTCATTCTATGTGATCCAGAACTTTGGAAAACTGAAGGGATACTGGAAAATATAGCATTAAGAAGGAACCAATCAGAAATCAAAGGAAAATACTGCCTCTCTAATGACACCCAAATAAAAAATTTTTTAAAGACCTATAATAAGAGCTTGAGTCCTAGAGTCAGACAAATGTGAGTTCAAATCACAACTCTATCCATTCCTAATTGTAAGCTCCTGTGCACATTACTTATCCTCTTTAAGTCTTAGTTTTTCTTATCTGTAAAAATGAGGATAATAATAAATACCTATATATAAGATTGTTGTGAAGTTCAAATACAAAATGCTAAATGCAGTGACTGGTTTGTGGCAAGTACAGTAATCAATAAATTTTAGTTGTTATCATCATAATTGTCATCACCACCACTACCTGCTCTTTAAACAACATGCATTCCTCTTTTTTTTTTTTTTTTTTTTTTTCCAGACAGGATCTCATTCTGTTGCCCAGGCTGGAGTGTAGTGGTGTGATCATGGCTCACTGCAACGTCAAATTCCTGGGCTCAAGCAATTCTCCTGCCTCAGCCTCTCGAGTAGCAGGAACTACAGGCATGTGTCACCAGGACCGGTTAATTTTTTAATTTTTTGTAGAGACAGCCTCTCGCTATGTTGCCTAGGCTCGTCTCAAACTCGTGGCCTCAAGTGATCCTCCCATCTCAGTCTCCCAAAGTGCCAGGAATACAGGAGTGAGCCACCGCATCTAGCCTCATACATTCCATTTTTGAAGTTATTTTCCCAGTAAGATAAGAATCCATGAGTTTCAATGCACATTCCATAAAATACCTTTGTGCAGAGAGTTTCAGCTTCAGATATTCTTCCTGTGTCTATTAGACCAGTGACAGCTTGTGAGAGAGACCACTTTTCAAGGGACTGGTTGTAATTTTCAAAGAATTTTTCGTCTTTAACTGTAAACAAAAAATGTCAATGTTACTTTCTTCTGCAATTTATAATGTGTTCTTAGAGGAGTAACTGGTTGCTAAAAAATTACCGTTGGGCTTATCATCCATACACAGTTTTTCAAAGTTACATGTGCCACATGTACCATAGACTATCCTGACAAGTGGCAGGTTTCTGAAAAGTTTCATGGCAGGAGTATTTGTGGCTAAATAACTCAAAGCCTCATATAATTGTGACTTCTAAAGAAAAATAAAATAATTTGCTGAAAACATGTAAAGATTTACTATGATATAATTGATGTAAAATAAGCTGCACATTTTCAAACTATACAATCTGATGATATTTGACATGTATATCAGTGAACCATCACCACAACCATGATAATGAACATATTCAGCATTATCAAAATTTTCCTCTTGTCCCTTTGTAACCACTTCTGTCCCCAACCTACTCCATCCTCCCTTAGCCCCTGTCCCCAGTCAGCTCCTAATCTGTTTTCTGTCACATAGGCCAATTTGCATTTCCACAAATTTCATATAAGTGGAATCATATAGTATAAACTCTTTGGCATCTTTCACAGGTGCTAATATGGCAAATTACCTTCATTTTCAAATGGTACATCAATCTTGCATTCCTGGGATAAACCATAATTGATCATAATGTATTATTATCATTTTTATGTATTGCTGGATTTGAATTGGTGAAGTGTTGTTATGAATTTCTCCATCTACCTTCACAAGCAATGTTGTTCTTTGCCTGGTTTGGGTATTAGGGTAATGCTGGCCTCATAGAAGATGTCAGAAGTGTTACTATCTTAGATTTTCTGAAAGAATTTGAGTAGAATGGGTATTATTTTTCCTTAAATATTTGGTAAAATTCACTAGTAAGTGAATTTAAGATAGCTATTCAAGATAGCTGATTAGATGCATTCGGTGCTCGCCTCGTCCATGGAAAGGAACCAAATAGCAAGTAGATAATCACACTTCAGATATATTATCTAAGAAAGCACACTGGACCTCAACAGAAAAGTGACAGGAAACACCAAAAGCAAGGAAGGAGAGGGGAGTGAGGTCGTCTGCTCGGCTGGGATCAGCTGGGAGCCTAGAAAGGCTCCTGAATGCAGGGAAAGGATAGGAAAGAGACCCCTAACAGTTTACATTCCTACCATGGACTCTGATAATTCTAGCCATAAGACAACCTCGTGACCCTTGCAGGCCCTAAAACTAACATAGGGAGTACATAATAATGGCATTGGTCCAAAGTGGGAGCTCACGCTGAGTCCCACAAACCCCTGAGTCCTAAGCAGCTAGAGTGAGGCACTATTTTGAGAGCCCAGCCCTCTACCAGGCTGTGTCTTGCCATGCAGCCCAACAGCCCCTGTATCTCCACAGTCCTAGAGCCCCACTGATATTCCCTGCCCACAGCCACTGCTGCTGGAGCTGAGGTGAGAGCCACTGTCAACCACCATGAGCTGCTGGTAAGGAGCAGCCATGCATATTCAAGTGCCCTGAGAACAAATTCCACTGCCCTGCAGCTACCACTGCATTAGAATACAGCAGAGCTGAGGCATCACTGAAGGCTGCAACCCTATGGCTGCTCACACTGAAAGCAACCCCACCCTACCTAGTAGCAGGGTCACAGTGCAGCAGCTGCTGCTCCCAACAAAGCATTTGCTGGCAGCCCGGCATCACTCTGCCCCTGCCTATCACAGCCAGGGCCCGCATGCACCACCAGGGAGCCTAAGGACAGTCTACCTGGCCTGGCTCCATTCCCCAGAGTACCCAAGCATACCCTCCTGGGGCCTCGGGATTGCCCAGCTCAGACCACCACCATTAGTATTTGAGCACTCCTCTGGGGTCTGAGGTTGGGCCCATCCAATCTGCCGCTAACACCGCAGCTGGCACTCACTTACATGTATCACATTGTTGGCCTGGAGACTGGTGTGCTCAGTCCATTGCAGCCACCACCAATGCCAGTGTGGACTGCTTGGGTCCCAGAGGGTTGGTCCCACTGCCACTACCATCACCCACACCACGTGTGCTGCCCAGGGACTCAAGAACACACCCACCTACCCAGCCGAATTGTGATGGTTAATACTGAGTGTCAACTTGATTGGACTGAAGGATACAAAGTATTAATCCTGGGTGTGTCTGTGTGGGTGTTGCCAAAAGAGAATAACATGTGAGTCAGTGGGCTGAGGAAGGCAGATCCACCCTTAATCTGGTGGGCACAATCTAATCAGCTTCCAGCAAATATAAAGCAAGCAGAAAAACACGAAAAAGCAAGACCGGCCTAGCCTCCCACCCTACATCTTTCTCCCATGCTGGATGCTTCCTGCCCTCAAACATCAGACTTCAAGTTCTTCAGTGTGGGGGCTGGGACTGGCTCTCCTTGCTCCTCAGCTTGCAAACAGCCTGTTGTGGGACCTTGTGATCCTGTAAGTTAATACTTAATGAACTCCCCATATATATATCTCCTATTAGTTCTGTCCCTCTAGGAGAACCCTAATACACCAATGCTGCCATTCCTGGAACCTGGGCAATCCATCTAATAGAGGCACAAGAATGGGCCTGTCTAAACCCACTAACACCAGGACATTGCTCTGGCATCCAAGGACAGGCAAGCTTAGCCAACTGCTGCCACCACTAGGACCCAAAGACTGGCCTATCTGGCATCCCAGGCCCCACCATAACTTCACCAAGCCTCCACTAACAAGTACATCCTAACAAACCAAAGAAATCACAAATATCACTGATGCTGTCTACAGCCAAAGAAATCAGAGACTACATTCAGAATCAAAGCCAAAGTGACCTACCCAAACAACACCATGGATACATCTTCAGGAAAAAGTGCTCCCCTACGAAAGAAAATTCCAAAATTGGAAGTGACTGTTAGACTAGATATGCATATATCAATGTAAGGACAAAGGAAACAAGAAAAAGCAAGGAAATATGACACTTCCAAAGGAACATAATAATTCTACAGCAACAGATCTCAATCAAAAAGAAATTTATGAAATCCTAGGGGAAAAATTCAAAATATTGATAATAAAGCAGCTCAGTAAGATACAAGAGAATACTAAAAACCAGTACAAAGAAATTAGAAAAAGCAATTTAGGACATTAATGAAAAATTTACCAAACAGATGGATATCATAAGAAATAACCAAACAAATTCTAGAAATGAAGAATTCATTGAATGAAATACAAAATATATCTGAAAGCTTCAACAACAGACTAGATCAAGCAGAAGAGCCTCAGAACTTGAAGACAGATCTTTTCAAACAACCTAGTGAGACAAAAATGTAAAAGAATAAGCAAAGCCTACATGACATATGGAACACCATAAAACACCCAAATATTTAAATTTTCAGTGTCCTAGAAGGCAAAAAGAAAACATAATTATTTTGTTTAAAAAAACTATTTAACAAAATAATAGATGAAAATATCCCAATTCTAGCAAGAGATTTAGACATCTGAAAACATGAGGAGGCTTAGAGATGCACAAATATTTACAATTCCAAAAGATGTTCTCCATGGCACACTATAGATAACCCATCAAAAGTCAAAGACAAAGAGAGAATACTAAAAACATAAAGAGAAGAGCATACTACTTATAAATGAACACCCATCAGACTAACAGCAGATCTGTCAGCAGAAATCTTACAGGCCAGTAGAGAATAAGATAATATATCCAAACTGCTGAAAAGAAAAAAACTGTCAGCCAAGGACACTATACCCAGCAAAGTTATTCTTCATAAATGAAGGGAAAATAAAGTTTTCCCAGACAAGTAAAAGTTGAATATCACCACTAGACCAGTCCTACAAGAAATGCTCAATGGAATCTAAACCTAAAAGAGAACAGACAACATTTACCATCATGAAAACACACAAAAGTAAAAACTCACTGGTAAAGCAAACATACAAAAGAGGAAGAGAAAGGACACAAATGGTACCACTACAGAAAAGCACCAAAATACAATAACACACAATAAAGAGAGAAAGAAATAAAGAATATACCAAAAAAAAAATCAACTAATTAAACAACAGAAATAAGGCAACACACATCAATGACAACCTTGAATGTAAATGAATTAAACTTTCCATTGAAAATATATGGATTAGCTGAATGGATTAAAAAAAATTACCCAACATATGCTGCATACAAGAAACTAGTCTCACCTATCACAACACATATAGGCTGGATGTGGTGGCTCACACCTGTAATCCCAATACTTTAGGAGGCCAAAACAGGAGGACTGCTTGAGCCTAGGAGTTTGAGACCAGCCTGAGCAACATAGCAAGACCTCATTTCTAAAATAAAAAAATTAGTTGGGCATAGTGACTTGTACCTATGACTTGGGAGGCGGAGGCAGGAGTATTACTTGAGCCCAGGAGTTTGAGGTCAGTCTGGGCAACACAGCAAGACCTCATCTCTTAAAAAAAAAAACAACTAAAATAATGATAGCAACAATGTATTTGATTATGTGTGCTTACGTGTGTGTGGATGTATACAGACTCGTATGCTTATGTGTAAGCAAAAGAGCAATGACATAAAGGACAATAATTAGGATTGTTTTACTATAAGGACTTGCACTATCCATAAAGCAGTATAGTGTTAGTTGAAAATGGAGTTGGATTAATTCTAAATGTATATTGCAACCAGTAAAAAAGGGCAACCAGTTAAAAAAAAAAAAAAAAAGTAGAAAAGGAAATACAACTGACATGCTAACAAAGAAGAGAAAATAGCATCAAATAAAATGCACAATTAAAACTACAAAACACAGAAAAATAGTTGGACAAAAATGGAAACAAAAAACAAAGGCAACAAATAGAAAATGGTAAAATATATGATAGATACTAAACCAATTATATCAACAATCACTTCAAACACCTATAGTCTAAACATAACCAATGAAAGAAAAGAGATTGTCAATGCGGATAAAAAATAAAAATAGGTAGATTGTTCTTTCTTTTAATCTGAAGAGCATGGCTTCAAAATAACTATGTTATAGGTATTTCTGAATTACCACTTAATAAATTCATTTTATTAAAATATTTCAATCTTATATAATCTAATACCATTAAACAAAAGCCTACTTTTCTTAATTTGCCCTAGTAGTCAAAAGACAGGCAGTAATGATGCTTAACATTTACTAAAAAATGATTAATAACCTAAAATTAATTCAGTGAAAAGCTAATGTCCCAAGACAAAAGTAGGCTAATCTATTTATTAATTTAAGTAGGTTAATCTATGTCACCTTTCAGTGAAGAAATTTATAGATTTACAAAACAATGTTAACTAAATCTGATTAGATTAACAGCTTATTCTGACCAAGATTCCCAGGAGGAATCATGGGACAATTTCAATGCTGGTTTCAGTAAAGGACTCTTTCCAGGTCACCTTTATCCTAAAATGCTGGTAAAGTCTCAAAGTAAGTAAATGCTACAAAACAAAGATTTCAGCTAACAGAACCCATTGGGCTTTTAAGCTATCTGGAAGAGAAAATACATATGCTTATCACACTTCTGTACAAACATTTTACTATGGATTTTTAATGAATATATATATATACATTATTTAAATATATATATTCATTAAATAATGTATATATATATTTAAATAATGTATATATATATTCATAAAAATATACATATATATATATATATTTTTTTTTTTGAGACGGAGTCTCGCTCTGTCACCCAGGCTGGAGAGCGGTGGCGCAATCTCGGCTCATTGCAAGCTCCGCCTCCTGGGTTCACGCCATTCTCCTGCCTCAGCCTCCAGAGTAGCTAGGACTATAGGTGCCCGCCACCACGCTCAGCTAATTTTCTGTATTTTTTAGTAGAGACGGGGTTTCACCATGTTAGCCAGGATGGTCTCGATCTCCTGACCTCGTGATCTGCCCATCTCGGCCTCCCAAAGTGCTGGGATTACAGGCGTGAGCCACCATGCCCGGCCTAATGAATATATTTTTTATAACAACATATGCTGAAGCCGTTTGTATTCTGGATTTAACCATTCAAGAAATCTGAATTAAATCATGTATAAAGATGCTTTTAAAAACTTACTTGAAGCAGAAACAGCAGATAACAGTGCCAAGTATAAATCTATCCTCTTTGGCTGAGTGTTGTTCACTAAGGCCAGTTTATCATCAGCGTGACAGGCTGCCATTAGCCCAGCCCAGATAGCAGGATCACCTGAAAACAGGAAATACACAGTGATAAGTCTTGTTAAAATCAACATGTTGCTTAAAAACTATCAAAAATGAGATTAAGAGTTTACAAGTTAAAAAAAAATTGTATCTAAAAAAAAATTTCACTTTCTCAAAGGAAAATTAAATTGCACTTGTTTTCAGAGACACATTGCTACATTCATCTTTCCAGATTTGCCAATTTTTCCAAACATATCAGAGGATGATAAACATCCTATTAAGCTGTTCATCCATGGCTGGTTAGCTCAGCTGCCTAGAGTGCTGTATTACTGTGGAAAGGGCAATTAGATTCACTTTCACTGGACACCAAGGACAAGTCTCACTCATCTTCATGACTTAGTAGTTGCTGTTTTAAAGACTCAGTCCTAGGACAAGGAAGATAACACAATTTTTCAGTTCTTAAGAAAAGTTTAAGCCAAAGGAAAGGCTCAAGATTTTAATTATATTCTAATAGGCAAGCAGAAAAGTCACTTCATCATTCCAAGTGAAGCATTTATATGACTATCTATCCCTCATTCATTTGATCTTTTCTTCTTTCCTTCATCCTTCACAGCAGCTTCAGGGTAGGGAGAAGGAGAAAAGTCCAACAGCAGTGAGTTGGAAGGGAACTTTTTATGCATAGAAAAGATTATGCATAACGACTTCTCTTTTTAAGAAAGCTGTGAAAAAAAGAAACGTGAAGGGAATATGGAATTTAGAAGTTTTTTCTTTTCATTTGTTTGGTCATTTATTTTTATAAAGCTTATTTTGCTGTTTACTTCAGCAAGTTAATATTTTAGTCCTGCTACTCTTAAAAAAACAAATGAATGCTTTTAATATCTCACAAGGGGGTGCTAGTTAACAATATAGACACTTGATCATACTTATTAGCTTTAGTTTTCTATTTTTTCTTATCTGACCACCCCACCCAATATATGTTTCTTATCATATATCTGAAATATATATATACTTCAGTTATAGGTGACCAGTATTATTGCTAAAAGTACAAAAATCAACAAAATTACAAGAATCATTAAAATCTTATGCAGATCAAATACTTTTACAAAAAGTTAAATGCATACCTCCATATTATGAAACAATTTCTGCTCCAAATAATAACTACCTTATTTTAAGGAACACAGACATCATCAAATTCCAGAATAAACAAATGGGGACTATTTCCTAGAATTTATGATGAAATCTGATTACTATATAAAGAAAGGCACATGACAGCCTTAGATCTGGGTTTCAGGTCTAGCCGTGCCACTAATTAATGTGTGGTAGTTCTTCCTTTAGGATTCATTTTCCTATAAAACAAGACAACTGGCCGGGCGCGGTGGCTCACGCCTGTAATCCCAGCACTTTGGGAGGCCGAGGCGGGCGGATCACGAGGTCAAGAGATCGAGACCATCCCGGCTAAAACGGTGAAACCCCGTCTCTACTAAAAATACAAAAAAATTAGCCGGGCGTAGTGGCGGGCGCCTGTAGTCCCAGCTACTTGGGAGGCTGAGGCAGGAGAATGGCGTGAACCCGGGAGGCGGAGCTTGCAGTGAGCCGAGATCCCGCCACTGCACTCCAGCCTGGGCGACAGAGCGAGACTCCGTCTCAAAAAAAAAAAAAAAGAAAAAAAAAAAAAAAAAAAAAAAAAAAAAAAAAAAAACAAGACAACTAAACTAGATAACAGCTGAGGTGCCATAGGGTCTTAAATTCTATGATTCCAACTGAAGTAGACTCAATCTCTGAATATTAACTTAATCCTAAGATTAAGGGGATAGCTACTTTAGGGATCTTACAGTATTGTATAGTTTGCATTTCTGATTGGAGAATGGACAATAGCTGGCAGCAATTTCTTCTATCACAACACAAAATAATTACTGTTTCCATGAACTCTTCCATAGATAACCAGCAACCCAAATTCCCTATAAAATAAAGTGACTCTAAGATAATATATAAACTACAAACCTAAAAATTTTAAAATATAGCTTGCTAAAGATAACTTTTAGTATCACAAAAGCACTAATCTAGCAGAAATTGGATTTTTTTCCATTCAGTTCTAAATTCTTGTAATTATCTTTAAATTCCTGACAAGACTCCCTGGAATAGCATCTATCAAAACTGTGCTTTGTTCATCTAAAGATCTACAAGGACTAAGTGTACAGCCACTACACATAACTACAGTTATATTCATTTTCATTGGACTCTAAGGACAAGTCTCAAACAGGCACTCATCTTTGCCACTCAGTCACTGTTTTAGCATCTTATGGGATGTCTCTGCTTCCTTGAGTATGTATTTATCCAGATAATCTGGGAACATCAGAGATCATTAGAGAGGACCTAATCTGGGCAATCTCACCTTTCTAAAGTTTATGTCCTTACACAATCAAAGGCTAATAGATCTTTTATCATTCTGGATCCATGATAAGAATTATTGAGAGTAAGTCTATCTAATATCTGCTTGAGAACTCCAAAAATAAAAAACCTACCAATATATATATAACATAGACAAATCAAAATGTTTAGTCTCTTTTTGTTTCTATGTCAAAATGAAAGAAAAGATAAACAACAGAATATTGACTTTTTTTACTTAGTTTACAAAATAATCCCTGAAATGTTAACTATTTTGCAGCTTAATGAGGGTCTTTACAATTTATTGTGAAGATAACATTGAACTTGTTCTTGGTGTAATTTTTTTCCCAACAGTGCTTAGGCAAAAGCAATAGCATTCTGATCTAACACATCTGAAGAGTTAAAAGGGAATACATTTAATACATTATTTCATATTTAAAATAATATTATATTATATAAAAATATACCTTATAACCCTATACTGCTAGACATTCCAGTCTTCTATGGCATTTTTCCAGTAGTGGTGATGGAACACGCTTAAGTAACATTCCTCAGTACTTTTGTGATCAACAGCCTATATATGACACAGTTAGCTCAGGTGAGGCCATAACTGTGGCATTTCTAACAGTTACCACATAAGATACATCCCCATCCTTCAAGAAGCTAACTACACGTAAAAATATCTAAATATGTATGTTAAATAATTTAGTAACTATAGGTAAAACTCTTTAAACCATATTGATGCAAAATGGAAATAAAACTGTTTCTTGAAAATATGTGTATAGTTCAGATTTTCAGTACCAGGTAATAAAGTATCATTAAGCAGACATTCCTTTAGGCCTCTTTCAATAATTGGTGCTCTCTTAATAATCAGTAGCCAAAAGCAGATAATCAAACGATATGCAAAATCTTGAAATATTTTCTTAAAATTCCCTTTTGCCTTATTTCATGGAAATATAAACTTTGCTCCTATAAATCACAAATAAATGCAAGATTGATAGAATCTAAATTCAAGAATGTAAATGTACTGAATTATCACATGCACCTTGAAACTATGTAAATCTATAATGCATCAATTTAAAAAGTCCTTTCTGATAGCATTATATATTGTATTAAACACTTACATAGTGCAAAGTACTTTAATCACCCAAACTCCTGTTGTAGAAGATCTAAATTACACACATTTTTGTCTGGTATAAACAATGCCAATAAAATATATATTGTGTGCAAGATTTTTCCCCCACTTACAAAATATGTATTTAGAAAAAAAAAGAATTGGAATTAATGAAATAGATATTATATGCACCTGGAGAAAGGAGAGCTGCCTTCTGAATGGTCTTTAGTGCAGTATTTTTTTCATCTTCTGCTGAACTGCTTCCCATAGCCAACTGATTTACCGCAGTGTACAGTAATGCCTTCTAAATAAGAGAAAAGATGTTAGCCAATTTTCCTGATAGCTCCCTCTCTTTCAAACTGACTAAAAGACTCTATTTGATATGACATAATCCCTAAGACTATGAAAACTATTATTCCTTCATCAATATTATTTAATAAATTCAACATTTCCTTTGTACTAGGACAAACTAACCTTTCCATGATTTGAGTCCAGAATATGAGCCACATTTCCTGCTACAACACCTCCCTAGAACAGAAAATATTGATGATTTATACAAATGCAGAAACTTTCATGAAAAAGAAAAAATTAAGATTGATAAGACCTTTCCACTAAATCACTGGAAAGGTTCAGTTTTACCACATTCACAACTCCTAAACTTCTTAAAAGTATCAATTTATTATTGTTGTTTGAAAAGACTAATAATCTTGTGAAAGGAAATCTTTTCTACTGTGACCAACTCTACTTTCAAAATATTCATTTGAAGGTTCAAAAGTTATATAATTTTACCAACGAAATGTACACATTTTCTAACAATATAAAATATAAAGACTGAGAGAGATCACAAAGATAAACTAACATGGCTTACTATATGAAAATACATAGTATTTTTAAAACTTACATACTCTAGTAAAATAAATAAAGTTCAAGGCACCGTGAAGCTCATCATTGCTTCAATAATCAACTCAATACTAAAAATAAGAAAAATACATGTAGCATCACAGTGTTTTCATTAGGTCAATTTGAAATCTATAACTTTAAATAATTGCAGCTACTTCAAATGGCTGTTGAGATTATAAAAATGCTGATAGCTGACACATAATAAAGCACTTTATTCAGGTAATTTTAGAGTCGAGTAACAATGGTCTTCCAGGTCCTTTGAGCCAACTTACTCACTAAAAATAACTAAAAATATGAAATAAAACCCTGCTGATCAAACTGTGGCTTGTGCATCTGCAGCGTCCACACTCTCTAAGAGGTTGTTAGATGTGCAGAATATTGGGTCCCATCTCAAGCCTACAGAATTAGAAGCTGCATTTTCACAAGATGACCAGGTGACTTCAGTTGCACATTAAAGTTTGAAAAGCACTGAGATAAAAGATTTTAAAAACATATTCTTAAAAGCACTGAAAAATTGACAAGATATTAAGGACTTACCAGGCCAAAACTGAAAGGGAAAACTGGAATTCAGAGAGACAAGTGAGCAAGGAAGCCGCTTCTGCCATTTGCAAATGCTAACAATTTCTTTCTTTTTTTTTTTTTTTAATAGATGGAGTCTTGCCCTGTCACCCAGGATGGAGTGCGGTGGCATGATCTCGGCTCACTGCAACCTCCGCCTCCCGGGTTCAAGTGATTCTTCTGCCTCAGCCTCCCGAGTAGCTGGGACTACAGGCGTGCGCCACCATGCCCAGCTAATTTTTGTATTTTTAGTAGAGACGGGGTTTTACCATGTTAGCCAGGCTGGTCATGAACTCCTGACCTCAGGTAATCCCCCCTCCTTGGCCTTCCAAAGTGCTGGGATTATAGCCATGAGCCACCGTGCCTGGCCCAAATGCTAACAAATTTTAATTTTAATCCTGAAAGATGTATGGGCTAGTAGGACAAAAATTAAGGCCCAGGTTAACACAAGGAGGGGAGTATAGAGGAGACCTACATCAGAATAAGCTGAGACCCCAACAGGCCACACCCTAAGGTTCAAGGTGAATCAGAATTACTCCAGGTCTCAAGAACTAGCAACCCAAGCACAAAGTAGCCTGCTTTGTCCAAAAACCCCAAGTTCTAAACTTTGTATAACGTAGTCCCAGATTGATGGACCTCCCAAGCACCCAGCAGAAGCAAGTACAAATTATTTCTGTAGAAAGGCACCTTAATTCTAGGCCTCAAATTATTCCTACAAATAATTTTCAAGTACACACAATTGGGTAAACAAAGAAACAAAGCCACCAAGAATGAAAATCAGTAGGAATAACGAACAAGACTCACAGATGTCAAACAAGTCTGTGGGTCTTGCAGACTTCAGATGTTGGAATTATTAGTCGTGGCAAGTGTTCAAAACATTAGCTATTACCATTATGTTTACCAACTAGTGAAGTGAACTATGAGAGGATATATTAACCACAGAAGTTAATAGAAGAATAGACTCCTGAAAATATCTGGATGCTACAAACTAAAATATAGTATATAATCCTTCATAGAGTGTCAGTGACTTCATATTTATAATTACATTTTTGTATATTAGCAGTGTTCTAGTTCTTACTGCCTTATCTTTAAGCTGATTTTAAATAAAATTATATTTTGGGATTCAAAAACACATAGCTAATGATTACTATGTGGCAGTGTTACATTACTTTATCACATATCATTAACATAATCTGCATGTGTTCAAAGAGATCTTCATACTTCTTTGTAGCTCCCACTTCTTTGTACGTCTTTGTAGCTCCCACAACATCTAGAACAGCACAACCGTATATGGAGAAAACTCAGTCTAGTATTCGTTGAATGACTAATGGAAAATTTAGTTAATAACAGAACTTTCTTCATTGTACAAATTATCTTGCAGAAGAATAATGCCATAGTTTAAAATTATCATATTTACCATATCACAAGTTATTTTATCTCTTTGCTAGAATTTGAAACGTTACTTTACCTTTGCATTTCGTTGAGCATACTGTGCAACAACTCGAGACAACAGAGACCAAAGAGCAGGGTCACCAGGGTTGCTAAAGGAATCAAAAGTAGCAGGCTTAGGGACAAGTTACTTTAACCACAAAATGTACAAGCAACCAACAATTTATTAAGTTTAAAACTTTTCTTAATATCTAAAACAAGTTCATATTAATTGCGCATGTTTGGTTGAAAGTATTTTTAGAAAACATACTTTATATCACCTATATACACCAACAGTCTTTATGAAAATAAGAAGAAAAAAATCAACAATGGATGATTATAAAGTCATGAGATAATTAAGAAAAGTTAAGGAAATTTAACACACTGTGTTCAAACACAAAGAGATTAAAAATTATAGGATAAGTAATACTGCATGGCAGGAAGATGACTACTAATAAAAATGACATAAGGAATAAGCTTTATATTAAAATAACTAAAAAAAAACCCAGCAAAGATTGTTAACAAAAATGAACTCTAAAAGGAAAAGAGACTACAGACATGACACTTTACTGCTAAAAATAAAACATAATAATTAACCACTGCTACTAATGACAGCTTCCTTTTATTAAACTTTTGAAGAAATTAATGAATCTTTAAACGGCTGAAAATTACTAAAACCATCAATCTAGACAGTACCAGACAACAGACTAAGAATATTACAAACTTGGGAATTAAGAGCTTTAATAGTAAAACAAAGTTTGGGCCTTAACCTGACTAAGGGCCAAATTTATCAATTGAATTAAAAAAACACAATCCTTATAGGTAAAATAATATATACAGTCAGTTACCTGGTCCTGTGTAAAATTTCATAAAACCAGGGTTTGGTTTTCAAATGTATATTCTTACCTTATTTTATAGTATTAATAAAGTCCCAATGTCAAATGCAACCATATCAAGTATAATTAGGTTCCAGGTTCACAAATACAGAATTTACCTGTGAACAGCTTTAGATATTTGTTTTTGCACAGCCACACTGCGGCCTTGGAGTGCATAAATCGCTGATGTAAGAAGGCACCTCTGATAATTACTGTCTTTGTGTTTGATGTGCTTCAGTAACTCATTAAGTGCTGCTTTTGACAGTGTAGCATCCTGCATTGCCAACCCTAGAGCACACAGGGCTTGAAGGCTTTCTGTGGTTGGTTCCTTTAAGATAGAGCTGTAAAGATATTTTAAAATTACCCATTAGTTAGTCTTTTTTTTTTTTTTTTGAGACGGAGTCTCGCTCTGTCGCCCAGGCTGGAGTGCAGTGGCACCATCTCGGCTCACTGCAAGCTCCGCCTCCCAGGTTCACGCCATTCTCCTGCCTCAGCCTCCCGAGTAGCTGGGACTACAGGCGCCCGCCATCAGGCCCGGCTAAATTTTTGTATTTTTAGTAGAGACGGGGTTTCACCATGTTAGCTAGGATGGTCTCAATCTCCTGACCTCGTGATCCGCCCATCTCGGCCTCCCAAAGTGCTGGGATTACAGGCGTGAGCCACCGCGCCCAGCCTATGACTAGAGTAGTCTTTATCTGTAACTATCAAAACATTATTTAGTATAACAAGCAATTTACGTAAAGAGTCACCAAACTAAACTCAACTTTAAGATTAATATAAAAGCAAATTTCTTGGTGGTTAAGAGATAGCAATTTCCCTGACTGAAGCAGTTAAAAGCATCAATGACTTTTCACAGACCAACAAAAGCCAAACTTATTTTCTGGTCATTACACCTAAGTGATATGGTTTGGACCTGTGTCTCTGCCCAAATTCCATGTTGAATTGTAATCCCCAGTGTTGGCGGTGGGTCTAGTGGGAGGTGATTGGATCATGAGGCAGAGTTCTCATGAATGGTTTAGCACCACCTCCATTTGGTACTGTATAGTGAATTCTCACGTGATCTGGTTGTTTAAAAGTGTGCAGCACTTTTCTCTTCCTCCTGCTCTGGCCATGTAAAACATGCCTGCTTCCCCTTCACTTCCTGTCATGATTGTAAGTTTCCTGAGGCCGCCCCAGAAGCAATGCTGCCATACTTCCTGTGCAGCCTGCAGAACCTTGAGCCAATTTAACCTCTTTTCTCTGTAAATTACCCAGTCTCAGGTATTTCTTATAGCAGTGTGAGAACTAATACACTAAGTTTTAGAAACAAATATAAATTAGCTTCTTTGAGTTTCAGCTCCAGGTAAGTAATTAGCACAATTTTGCTAAAATGTTGAGTTCCAATAAAATCTTAGAAGGTATAAATAATAAAAAAAACTCTTCAATTAAAATATGATTTTTATCTTTCTGATAAAGATTTGTCCTATTTGCTCTATGGTATTGAAACCAGCACTTTACATAATAAGTACAAATTGTCTCTATATCCACTATACTCCAAACGAGTATTTTTATAATTTAAGGATAATTTACATTTTATAGGTAAACATCTAGCATTTTTTTTCCTCTTTCAACTATAAAATCTGACTTAGCCTTATGGAGGAAAATTCATTAATGTTTAGGAATCCCAGTTAATTTAAATAAAGAAAATCTTAGCTCTCCACTAACAACCAAACTTATAAGAATTATTATGAATTTTATACTGTAATAAAAATAAAGGAATTTTTTTAAAAACTTTTTTTTTTAACTTAAGTAGTTTTATTTTATGGGCAAATAATGAACAGATGTTGTACCCATAAATTCTACTTTCCAAAAACGGGAGCTTTTTAAAAGAAAACCACATAATAACTTTTAAAAGGCGCTGGGATTCCTCTGCTTCTAGATCATTGCTAGGCTAGAAAAATAAAGTTTGTTGTACCAGGAATCACAAGTTAGAACTGAGTATTCTCCAAAGCGGAAATTCTAGAGTGTAGTATCACTAGAGACAAAGACTATTTGGTTTTCATCCCTAAATTCCTACCAGAAGGGTTAAACCAGGTCAAAACAGTCCAGCATAATTAGGCTTCATCAAACAATGTCATTATGCTCTTCTAAGATGCAAATAAACCAAAACAGGAAATACTAAAATCAAAATAATATCTGACACTGTCATACAAATCGTTAGTTCCTTGTTGTATCCCCCCTTCTTTAACATTAATAAAGGGAATATTTTACTCAAAGAACATTTTATTTTATACATCACTAACCATGAATTTTTGCCATTAGTTATTATACAAATGCTGCCTAGTACCATTATCCAAACGGCATAACCATTTTACGTCCACAATTCACTTCTATAGTTATAAGTAGAATTTTCATGATTTACATAAGTACATCTATCGGTGAAGATTTAACACTGAGATGCAATCTAACATCCGTTAATATCTGATGTTTTGTAGATGGCAATGTAGGAAAGATATATTTTAATCACTTTTCATTTAAATGACCTTATATAACAAATTAATAATTTAGCAGGTCTAAGTTTTAAACAATGCTCACTGAAATATAACAGAAATATTTATAACATTATAAAATGTCACATATCTACCATTACGTCTTTGGACTATTTTTGGAAGGGGGAAATTAAAAGTTTTGTACTTCATTTTGACAAACAAGTATCAAATCATGAATTTTCTGAGGCAGTTCTGAAGTAAACAGCTTACTTAAAGTATCTATAGTAACTCTTTTTACAATAAGAGTTAATACATATGTGTCCAAATATGGAAGTATGTCAGTCAGTGTCATGTCTAGCAAATAACCACATGGCTAATGGGTACAACTAAAAAAGCCAAAAAGCAGATAGTAAAATATAAATTTCAATATTGATAACAAAAAAAAGGAATTCTACTTTGTGCCTTGCTCAAAGGAAAAAAAATCTACCTACTTTAATACTTACTAATAAACAAAATCTAAATTATGACTGAAATGACTACATTCTAGTATTAAGCAAACACGTGCTGAATGCTCAATATCTGTATGTTGTCTTTTACCATGTTCTAAGGATTTTACACATGGTTACTTATTATCACAGTCTATAAAGTTGGTAACCAGACTTTTTTCCCATAATGAACTTAATCCTATTCCCCTTAAATCAGTGTCTAGTACACTGCTCAGTTCACAACATATGAATGCCAAACAACAGCAATATAGACTAAGGAACTGAACTTTTTCATAGAATGAAAATCAAACAAAATAATGCCAATGGGTAGAGGTGGAAGCAGTTGGTAGTGTCAAGTTTGGGTGAAGACAGGCAGAAAATCAAAAACAAAGAAAGAAACATAAAAAACAAAAAACCTAGGCTTGGATCCAACAACATAAAACATCGGGGTAAAGGTTTGCCTTCACATAGGAGAAGGGGAAAAAAAGAAAAAAAAGATTGTATATATATATATTTTTTCCCACTTTCATTTCCTGTCTTAAGCAATAACCAAAGACTAATCTAATGACTCTAATATGGGGTTACTTTTGCCCTTGATAACTGCAGTAATCATGAGTATCTATGATTCTTGTCACCAAGCCATTTGCAAATTTAAGTTCTTGGAACATGTTATATATAACGATAGATACATGTTAAAATGATATAGCCATGTAAAGTGACAGGATTTTCTTTTAAATGGGTTGGCTTTTCCTAACCAGCAAAGAGGAAGAAAAAAATTGCTTATTTATTAGACAAGGAAATGACTGTAATGGCACAGGATAGGACAAAGGCATTACATCAAATAAACAAATGTAAAGTTTATCCTATAGAACTGGTTCTCAACCAGTACCATCTAACCATCTCCATCCCCCCACCTTTGGAGATGGGGTAGTTACAGAGGCAATTTTTTTGATGTCACAATGACTGAGGAGTGCTAATATTAGCACTTAGTGGGTGGGAGGCAAGGATATAAGCTTTTTGCAATGGGAGGATATCTCTGTACCATGAAGATTGGTATCACTCAAAAATGCCAATAAAACACTCACTGAGGCCACTGTTTAATAGCATACATTAATCACTACTGCTTGTGAAGGAATTCAGGTCACTTTTCAAAAAACTAATCTTCAGTGAAGTTAAATAGTATTATATAAGTAACCACAAATAACACAGGTCGTTATTTTATTAACCTACTCCAAAAACACAGAAATAGTTTTAAGTTTTGTTACACATTTTTAAAAAGATTTACCTTTAAATGAACCTTTTAACAGGTTATCTTGAAAAGGAAAGAAGAAAATATCTCTTTGGGAATCCAAGAAGCCAAAAGACAAGGCTTCATTACAACTATCTTCATTAAAATTTTAAGATACTAATTATCAGGTGATCAGTTTCTCTTTTAAAAAAACAAATAATATGCAACAGAGTAATGGACAGTTTCGAAGAATCCAATAGATCAAGGGATAAGAATTAAATCACAATCTGTAGCTCCACCTGTGACTATCAATTCAGAACCAGGTGGGCCCAATCCCTTTTGTTCACCCAAAAGTTCCTAAAACATGAAGAACTTACGCTTTCTCCAATTCTCAACCCAAATATCTAAGTATCTGGTCATGTTAAGTGTTGATGTCAACTATACATACCATTTAAATAGCAATGTCTTGGCTACATCCGTTTTTCCTTGTTTATATTCAGTTATTGCCAGAGCTGTCAAGATATGGGCTTTGTCTTGCTCCGATTCAACAATAGACAAGGCTCTCTCATAGGCTGTTACATAGAAGTGAAAACAAACAAAACAATATAAAAGCCATCCTGATTGATGAAGCATGGGATTTTTCCTTTCCAAATTTTTTAGAAAGGTCTAAATACAATTATATCTTTGTATTCTCCTGTTCTCAAGCAGATAGAATAAAAATTTATAATAATCTAACTTGTTTTCACTGTTCCAAGGTGATTCTGAAGTATCATTAGGATTATTATGTGACAATCCCTAACTTCTACGTTCGGAATCTATATGGGGATCTAGGTCACTGTCTTTACGAGCCAATTTGGGTCAGAAGCAGAGGCCTGCAGCCACTGAGATATCACCAAAACTCCCACGTGCAGCCCAGCAACTCCATCAAGCAGTAGATATTTCAATGCTCTATACACATGTGGGCTAAGCCCATATATGTGAAAATGCATCATATAACATATTTGGAGAAATCAAAATCTATTACTAACAATGGTTGAGGTCTTCATTTATCAGAAATTAACATCTAAGCAGTGTAGAGTAGTAAACATTTGTTTTCAAATGCTAAGTCACATTATTTGCCATAAGTGATCTTGGGCCCCAGTTTCCTCATCTGTATAATGAATACTCAGCTCATAACACTACTATAAAGACTATTCATCATAATAACATTCTAAATGAGGTAACAGATAAAAAAGTGCCTAGTATTGCTGCTGACTCCTAGTCAGATTTTAATAAACATTGCAACCCCCACCCCATCTCATTATTACATCTTTCTGTATGTGTGCTCATCATGATTAAACTCGACTCTAAATGTGTCCTTAGCTTCAGAGCAATATACTTACCTTTGCTGCTCTCTTTATAAAGCCCCTTCATGAATAAAGCCAATGCAAAACCTATGATGTCTTCTAACACTTCAAGGGGTGTTGACTTAAAAGCCTGGATAGCTTTATCATATTCACCAGTGGAACTAAGAAGTAAAGCACAACTTACTTTTAATATCAAAAGTAATTCTGGTGTGTATCATCAAAATACTGAGATATAATTACACTAAGTTGGGCCGGACGCGGTGGCTCACATCTGTAATCCCAGCACTTTGGGAGGCCCAGGCGGGGGGTGGGGGTGGGGGGTGGGGGGAGGGGGTGGATCACAAGGTCAGGAGCTCGAGACCAGCCTGGCCAACATGGTGAAACCCCGTCTCTACTAAAAATACAAAAATTAGCCGGACGTGGTGGCACATGCCAATAATCCTAGCTGCTCAGGAGGCTGAGGCAGGAGAATTGCTTAAACCCAGGAGGCAGAGGTTGTAGTGAGCCGAGATTGCACCACTGCACTCCAGCCTGGGCAAGACAGAACAAGACTGGTCTCAAAAAAAAAATTTACACTAAGTTTCTTTTGATAATTTCATGTGTACTTCCTTTTTTATAGTGGTCTACTAAATTACGAAGTGTCTCTTTTTTTTCTTAACAAGCTTTAATTAAAATCCCAAATTATAAAAATAATTTCAAGTTGACTTTAATATGGATCTCTAATTTTTTTAAGCTGAATACTTAATTAAATATTACCCTATGAGTATGATTCTAGCATCTTTGCCAAGCTTAACAAGTCATAAAATGCCTAGTCAGAATCAAACCTATCTTTTGTGTAAACTGTTTATCTGCACATTTTTTTTTTCTTTTTTGGAGGGCATACAGATACACTAAAATTCCACAAACAAAATATTATTCTTTTTTGTGTTTAAGGGAGAGGAAGCCGGGCACAGTGGCTCACACCTGTAATCCCAGCACTTTGGGAGGCCAAGACAGGGGCATCACTTGAGGTCAGGAGTTCAAGACCAACCTGGCCAACATGATGAAACCCCGTCTCTAATAAAAAAAAATACAAAAATTACCCGGGCATGGTGGTGGGTGCCTGTAATTCCAGCTACTGGAGAGGCTGAGGCAGGAGAATCACTTGAACCCGGGAGGCGGAGGTTGCAATGAGCCGAGATTGCATCACTGCACTCCAGCCTGGGTGACAAGAGAGAAACTCCATCTTAAAAAAAAAAGAGGGAGGAAAATATAAACTGTAATATATACTAAAGTGCAATACTTATTAATAACAGAAAAATAACTTGTTTTTGCCTAAAGATAAAAGGAACTTGTATAAGCTCAACTGCCATCATCTGAAGAGAAACACTATATCTTTGAGATTCTTCTTTCTGGTATCCATCACTATAACCTGAATCTGTTTTTATTTTTAATGTGTTGTGGAAATCTTTTTATAAAATCTTTTTAATCTTGGAGGATATGAATGGGGGCTAAAAATATAGGCAACCTTCACTTCTAAATAAGTTTTCTAAAGGTGAAAGGAATTATAAAATCAATACTCAAATTTTGATAAAGGAAAGAGGACTACCTTAGATTGTTTTTGGATACATACATATATATTAAAAGTATTTCTTTAAATAAACACTATCTTCTAAGATGTGCGTGCTTTTGTGGAGAAAATAATGGAACTACAGAAGGGAATGTGGGTGCTTCCACAAATCTATCTGAAATTTTTTTGGAAAAAGTAACCTGAAGGCCGGGCACGGTGGCTCACGCCTGTAATTCCAGCACCTTGGGAGGCCAAGGCGGGCGAATCACGAGGTCAGGAGTTCGAGACCAGCCTGGCCAACACGGTGAAACTCCGTCTCTACTAAAAATACAAAAAATTAGCTGGGCGTGGTGGTGGGCACCTGTAATTCCAGCTACTCGGGAGGCTGAGGCAGGAGAATCTCTTGAACCCCAGAGGTGGAGGTTGCAGTGAGCCAAGATCGCGCCACTGCACTCCAGCTTGGGCAACAGCGCGAGACTCTGTCCCCCCAAAAAAAAAAAAAAGAAAAAGTAACCTGAAGCAAGCTGACAGAATTTTAAGATATAATTTGATTGGTGACTTTTCATTAAATGATTCTATTACTTACTGCATGTTTGCACATTTCATACATTTCATAATAAAAGTAAACTTAAAAAAAATCTGTTTTCAATGGAAGGTATATATTTTCTTCTAAAATACTTACATTAGTACTTAGATTATATAAAACATCAAAACTAAAAAGAACAGATACTTTATTCTACACAATATCTGTCCTCTGCTTCAACAAAATCTTGGAACTGACAGCTCTATCAACTTTTAAGTATTTTTTTCAACTTTTAAATTTAACAGTTTAAAATAATTGAAAGGAGAGGCAGTCAGAACAGTTCAATCTTCCAATTTTGGATATAATTCAGGTACACAATTATAAAAGAAAATAACTGGCTACCTAAGGTCTGCCAGGTAGCTCCTTAAAAGATGTAGCACTAATCCTAAGACATCAAAGTATAGTTCTAACAGTGTTTTTCAAACTGTACCATTCAACTTTAGGGCAGCTCTAGGATGCTGCCTTAACTTGAATCAAAAACCTTCCTCCTACAATACTTCTATTCTCTGGTCCTAGTTCTACCCTCTAAAACAACTGGTTCTTAATCTTTCTTTCTTTTATTCTTTTTTAGAGTTAGAAGTCTCTGAAAAACTGAGGAAAGATATAGAGCTCATTCCCCATCCCCAAAAGGTACCCACACAACAATTTTTGTGTACTGTTTCAAAGGGGTTACTGGACCCCTAATGTCCCTCCCCGGTTTAATAATATATAGCAAATCAGAATAAATCTAATTCCTCTTCCAATTAACGAGGCTTCTACTGTTAGAGACAGTCACTACCTCTCTTCCAAATGTTCTCATCTCCAGTCAACAAACCATGAGTTCTAACTCTGCTCCACATAAAGCACACTGGGGTTGGTTACCATTATAGGTATAGGAAACTGTTAACAGAGCCTGTTTCTATGGAAATTATGTATCCTACATGTACCAGTATTCTAGGAACTAGTCAGCATATCAGCAGTCCCATAGCTTTCACCAGAAAAATACAATCAATTGACAGAATTAATGGAGAAAAAATACGCTTACCATAACAATCTGCCGTAATTTCTTATTGCAACATTGTAAGTATCTTGGTCTTCTGCAGTCTGTAACAACAAAATTGCCCTTAAAAAAAAAAAGGTATTTTAATTTATCTCTGTGCAATAGCATTCTGTTACCTTCCTCTTTAGCTGAATCCACAGATTTTTGTTCATTTAATTCTACTAATTCTTTGGTGCTAGTTACAATAGCTTATTCATATTTTATTAAGTTGGTACCACAAAAGCACTTATATATATTTAGATTTTAGACTTTCAGGAAAATAACATCTAAATAACCTCTTAGTAAGTGAAATCATATATGACATTTGAGTTCTAAATATTCCAAAAATCTAAATATAGGAAATGACTATGTCACAGTTTAAAGTTTTGACATATTTGGAGTTTATAGAAAACACCCTTGAAACTATTTATATATTAGTAGTTTGAGTTAGGAAGCCAGGAAATTGAATGCTTTCATGTGCCCTTGCTTGTACATACAGAAAAATATTTAAAGAAAAGTAAGTTGAGGGAAGGGGACTAGTCACTAGAAGTCCCTCAAGGATTGGAATAAATAACCTGCTGACAACGTGTATTTCCTTCTCATGCTCAGTTCCCTATGGGCAGGCAGGGAAATGTCTTAACGACTAAAAAGAGTTGGATATTTAACAAGATTTTTGGTTTTTATTTTCTTTCCCATTTAAAGACGACTGGCTAGGGAGAAATAGCCAAGAAAGATTTTTTATCTCCCTGATGTTGCATGAAAAACAAGAATTTGCTAGAGAAGCCTAAAGACAGTATTATAGAGATGAAAAACTATACCCTTATTTAGATTTATGCCTAATTTGTGGCTTCAACCATCAAATAGTTGTTTAAAGCAGAAAACAGCAGTGATGATCAGTCAAGAAAGTGGTACATACACCCAAGTGACTGTGGAGATGCCATTTTAAGCCTAAGGTGTAACCAATGTTAGATTCACAATATCTGCAATAATAACGATACATACCAAAAAAAAAAAAAATAGCAAACACCCTAGCTGCCTAGTTTTCTCTGTTTAAAAATCTTGCTCACTATTGCAGTCTGTCATATTTATACAGTTTACTGGTAAGTTTGTTGGCTTTGAAAGAAGCAAAATAGTGGTTTTTCATATACACTCATTTTCATATACTTCTTTCCATACACACCTGGAAAAATAACTTCTTGATTACACAGGCTCCAGTACCATCTAGTGATTACTCCTTTGAACTACGGAGAGATCCATAAAAGCATATGGCAAAGCATTCAGGACACCTCAATTATTTTTTACCTGACAAGGCTTCTTGTAAATATTTATTTAGATTTAGGGCAATAATGTGCCTCAGAGATTAGGCAACCAGGTCTTTTTACTTTTCACCTAGTAGTTGGTCATGAGATCAATAGTTATTTTCTTATCACCTATCCATTAATTTACATAGAAATTTATGTAGATTTCATTTCCTACCACTCTCCAGCTGGTCATTCCATTGTAGCACACTGGCTTTCTTATTTTGTAAACATGCCAAATCCACTCCTCCACTTCTCCACTTCTCTTGCTGTTCCTTCTGCCTAGAATGGTCCTGCCTAGATAAACAAGTGGCTTGTGGCCTCAGTTCACTGAAGTCAGGCCTCAACTGCCTCCTTAGTAAATCTATCCATTCTTAAACTCACCTGAAATGTCACTTCCTGCCCTGCATTCTCTGGCCCTTTTCCCTACTTTAATTTTCTTTCTTAGCAATTACTATCATCACAGATGTTTATTAGCTTATCATGTCTCTTCAGCCACAGAACACATGCTCCATGAGAACAGGGCCTTTGTCTTTTTTAATTTACTGCAAAATAATCAGTGCCAAGAACACTGCTTGGCACGCAGTAGTCAAAAAATATTTATTAAATGAATAAATAAATACATAGTAGATATTAAAGTCATTCAAACAAACACATCACAATGTTCTCATTTCTTGTCTCATTGAACACATGTTCAAATCTAATAAAGCTAGACAAGTTCTTAAAAGACAGACTTTTCTAAAAATCTGAGAAGATTTTTGTTTTGTTTCATCTTTCTTTTCTATCGATTTCTCTCTCTCAATTTCTCCACCCCACCTCCTTAAGATGAGCAACAAAAACCAAAATATAGCTGAAAATTTGGGAACACATCTTTTCATCTTCTAAGATGTAATAATAGTATACAATGAAACATCAGGAAAGGAGTCAAAACAATTATTTAGTACCTTCTTCCCGAGAATGAAACTAACATTTGAAAAGATAACCGATAAACAATGATAACATTGCAATTGATGTAGAACTTTGTTCCTTAGTTCAGCTAAAACCGGGTCCTTGTCACACAACCAGGAAAAGTTAGGCACGCAGACACACTGAAGGGTGAGGGGAATGGATTTATTGGGTGAAAAGGAAAAAAGAAAAAAAACCTCTCAGCAAAGCGAGAGGGGTTCCTGCTAACAGGCCCACATCTCACAGATTGATTCCAGGCCACGCACCCAAGAACTGAAGAGGCCAGGCTCCTCCCCACCTGCAAATGGCGTGAACATCCCCTGGCTTCACCCGGTTCTCCCAACGCACAGGCCAGTCAGAGATTCTCCAGGAACCCTTCCCCTCATCTTCCTCCTGCATCTATCACAATTAAATGTAGTTTACCTTTGGTATGCATTTGCTGCTTCCTTTTTCAGTTGTAGATGTTCGTTTAAGTAACCCAACATTGTGAAAGCTGGGGCATAATTCTGAATTCTTTCTAGAAAATGAGAAATATCTTCATTTTAAATATGCCTACTGATGGTATTAACAAAATATTCGTTTTATTTTTTCAGTATCTTAAATATCAGATTACCTCTTGAGATCACTCACACTGTTAAGAATAGTGGCCTGATTTTATCTTGAATATAATGTCAGTAAAAACTTTATTAACTCTAATTACTGAATAATGTTTAATAGTTATATTTGATTTTTAGTTGTATTTTAGAATTTAAACATTTTATGCCCAAAGGTATAATAACTTGAAATTATAGTTCTTGTTAAAACCAGTCATGAGATTTATAAAGATATTCAGTTCTTTGGCTAATTACTTAAGCCTTCCTGTGATTAAATTTAGCAATAATTTCTCTTGGCGGTTCTGTTCCAACATGTACGTATTTAAAAAAAATAACAAAGTCAGTATTGTACACTAGAAACAGAAGGTAAGTTTGGTACTTTCGGTGCAGTATTTTGAAATTTTAATGTCAAAAAACATAATGTATCTGAAACCACCATTTCAAAATTATAACTGAGACAGTGACAGAAATCCAACCTAACTCCATCTTGCTTCTAACCTCCATGCTGTCCTCGTTCATTCCTGGGCACAGGCTAAACTAACTTTGGGAGGAACTTGGTTTATAGTTTATAGTTTGAAACAAAGATGACAACAGCCCTTTCCCAAAACAAACCCCCTTCTTGCCTAGCGACTAGACCTGCCTTTGCAGGACTACTGAATTAGTCAAAAGATTAATTATGGTTTAGGAGTCATACAGCTGGAGGCTACAAGATTCTGACCCTCCCCAAATTGTTCCTGGGGATAACATCACTATTCAGAGCCTGCACTTGATGGATCAGCTGGCATCACCCAGATTGATAAACTGGCTCATCTGATCTTGTGGCCCCCACCCAGGAACTGACTGCGCAAGAAGACAGCTTCAACTCCCTATGATTTCATCTCCAACCCAACTAATCAGCACTCCCTACTCACTGCCTGCCCACCACCATCCACCAAATTATTCTTAAAAATGCTGATCCCCAAATGCTTGTTCGGGGAGACTGATTTCGGTAATAATAAAACTCTAGTCCTCCACACAGCCGGCTCTGCATGAATTTCTCTTTTTCTATTGCAATTCCCCTGTCTTGATATATTGGCTCTGTCTAGGCAGCGGGCAAAGTGAACCCATTGGGTGATTACCTATCTATGAAGGTAAAATGTAGAAAAAGAAATGTATCTGATCTAATGTACTTAAAAGTAGTAGTGGAAAGTAAGCCTTCAAATCCTTTAGATTATTTAACAAAGTACACTGTAACCATATCTTTTGTGATTGCTAGGTTCTAAGATCAACAACTAAGGTTAAAATCAAATAGTCAAAGTTATTCTTGAAAAATCCTTAAAGTCACAAAAGAAAGAGTCAACAAAATTGAGTCATAATAAGCATGAGGGCCAGGCACAGTGGCTCACGCCTGTAATCCCAACACTTTGGGAGTCCGAGGCGGGTGGATCACCAGGTCAGGAGATTGAGACCATCCTGGCTAATACCGTGAAACCCCACCTCTACTAAAAATACAAAAAATTAGCCGGGCGTGGTGGCACACACCTGTAACGCCTACCTGCTAATCGGAAGGCTAAGGCAAGAGAATGGCTTAAACCTGGGAGGTGAAGTTGCAGTGAGCCGAGATTGCGCCACTGCACTCTAGCCTGGGTGACAGAGCGAGACTCCGTCTCAAAAAATAAATAAATAAATACAAAATAAGCATGAGGAGATCCATGCCTTCACATGCCACACCCACCCTAAGGCAAACCCCCCCAAGTGCTGATGTTTGTAAATTAATTGCCTAGTCTAGTGCCTCAGGCTAAATGCATGCAGAGTGCCACAATCCCCACAATATCTACAGTGAGGCATTTTCTCTCCTGTTTTTCACAATTTATCTGATTCTTTATATTATTTGACTGCCAATATTTACTGTTTTCAGTACTCTTGCTTAAACTCCTTGCTTCTTTATTAGCATTTTGTCAAAAGTTAATGAAACTAACATTTCTTGAGCATCTAGGATATGCCAGGCACCCTGCATAACATTTTGTACAAATCATCTTGTTTAAACACTAAGCAATAAACACTTTCCTGTTGAGAATTTTGGTAGCATGCCCAAGGTTTCAGTCAAGGCTACTAAGTGGTGGAGCAGAGATTAAAACCCAATGGTAGTTTTATTAAAAAAGACGGAATTATTACAACAGATGGTTAATAAAATTTCACCACTCTGTCAACTTCCTAAACCTAAATGTATCTTTCCAATATCTTCAAGAAAAATCAGGTGTTAAGTGGGGAAGCTAAAGGCACTGGGTTTGGCACTTCATTTATATTATCTCATCTAGTTCTCACAACTCTACAATCCAGGTATTGTTATATCCACTATCCAGGGAGTAAACAGAAGTTAAGGGTGGTAAAACACTTGGCCTAAGACTGCAGAGAAAGTTAAAGGCAAAGCGAGAACAGCAGCAACTGTTCTAGTGTATAGTGTATAGTGGAGAGTGTATTAAAGCCTAATACACTCTACACTATAACAAGGAAATTACTTTTTTCTTGCATCATTAGGTAACAATTTTTATCTTTCTTCAAAAGCCTTTATTAAAGTTTACAAAGTAAAGACTGCTTCGCTGTTGCAAAAAGAAGGCAAATTCATGTCTTAAAGAATACCAATATTTAATTTGACATGAATTAATTTTAAAAATTATTTAAATTATTTCAATAGTTGCTCAAATATCTTGCTATTATATAACAGGTACCTTACCTACATATTTATTCAAAATAACTTGTGCTGCTGGAATAGCATTCATCTGGAGGATGTTGTACTGGTACAGCTCTGTTTCTCTGTTGCTTTTATCTTGCAATGTTGTGCAGACCCAATACGCATAACCTAATGCTCCTTCAGTCTTTAAAAAAGCCAACGTTAAGCAGACATAGGATAATAAATGTGTCAATAAAAATTATAATAAGAAGTAAAACAATGCACTTCAATACAATAAATATCACATCTCAGTGTTCTTTAAGTCAATTGTTAAAAGTACCTTTAAATGAAGGGTCACTATGATAAAACACAGCGAAGAACATATTGAAATTATTTGCTCCAATCCTAACGAGAAGAATCAAACGGGATAAAATGCAGAAAACAGAGCCTTGCCTGATGGGCTGGCTTTCCCTTCCTCAGCACCATTGCCAAAGGTCAGACCAAAAAAAAAAATGAATTCTACAACATTTTCATAAATAATCTAGAAATGTCTACCATGCCTACTCCTTATCTCATGTCTATCTTTTTCCTAGAGTCTCAGTTTCTATTCTATTAATATATGACTGCTACTATATCTATTAAATCTAAACATCATTTCTTCACCAGCTCTTGAAAGTTGTAGAAAAAAGAAAAATGGTAGTTCTTTAATTCGAGAAAACTAATCTGTTTCTAAGAAAGAATAAAGAATAAAAACAACTGATGTCATTAACATCTAATACCACTATCTATTCATTTTCTTTTTCCTTTTCTTAGAGACAGAATCTTGCTCTGTTGCCCAGGCTGGAGTGCAATGGCATGATCATAGCTCACTGTATCCTGAAACTCCAGGACTCAATCCTCCTGCCTCAGCCTCCTGAGTAGCTAGGACTACAGGTATACACCATCATACCTGGCTAATTTTTAATTTTTTTTTTTAAGAGACAGGGTCTTGCTATATTGTCCAGGCTGGCCTCAAGCAATCCTCCTGCCTTGGCATCCCAAATCACTGGGATTACAGGCATAAGCCACTATGCCTAGCCCAATATCTATTCATTCCCTTAACAAGGATAACACTTTTCTCATTAATGAATCCTCAAGAAGAATGTTCAGATTCTTACATGCATATTTAGTTCTGTAGTGTGCCTGAAGAGATCCATGGTGTCATAACTTCCAACTGCCTCAGCAATAAGAGCCTATAAAAGGAAAAAAACAGACTCTTAATGTGTTTAAAAGACAGTAACAATAATAATACAAAATGAAACTGTCTAGAAGAACCAAAGGTTTACTAGCTGAGCTTAAAAGCAAAGTTAACCTAAGTTTTTCACTTCTATTGTTATTATTTTAACTAAATCTTCCAGTTACCTGCTAAAATAAATTATTTTTAAAACCAAAAATACTTTTAAAATAAAAATTAAAAAGTGATTCTGATAATCATCTAAGATCTACTGAGCTAGAGCAGTACTACGCGAAGTGAGGTCCCTTGGACCAGCCTCATAATCATCACTTGGGAGCAGTTAGAATGCAAATTCTTGGACTCCCTGGGTTCAATGGCTGACACAGAGGCTAGCACAGTAACGCCACTGCTCCCAAATGCTACCACAGTGAATGGGAACAGGAGTTTGCCTTTCTAGCTCTGCTTGCTTCACCAATTAACTAGAATTAGGCCCAAGAGTCTAAAATACAACAAAAGATCTCTAAACCCTGATTAATAATTTTCTGATAAGCAACTGACTGCTTACTAATTCATTATAATTTCTCAACCAGGCAAGAACTTCGAGGCCACTCAGTCTAATCCCCTTCTTTTTCAGGTGAGAAAATTAAAATCCAGAAAAGTGATATGCTAAGGTAAAAAAAGAAAAAAAAATCAGTAGGTAACAGACTCAGACTAGTAACAAAGTATCCTGATTCCTATTTGGCAGTACAAAAATCTGAATTTGGGGGAGGAAAGAACACTCATAAACAAGTGACAAACCAAATATGAAGATTTTACAGAAACATAATATTCAAAATGATCTTTGTAAATGTGCATTTTCTTTGTACATGTGAGTTAAACAATAGAGTTCTGGGTTTATTTTTTAGGCACAGTAATGTCAGACTGGTAAGTGTTCAAAGGCCCCCCAAGTCAGAGTTAAATCCTTACAAGCTACGTGGCCTTAGGAATGACACTTAGGAGCTCTGAGTTTCTATTTCCACAACTATAAAGAGAGTATAACATCAACCATATCTCAAAGAATTGATGATTGATAGATTAACTGAAATAGTGTATACAAAGAGCTAAGCACAGTGACTGGCACAAAGTAAGCCCTCAAATGCTATCCGTTACCATTATTATCACTGTTATGCATATTAGTCAGTTATTGATATCAACAAGCTTATTAGTAACTATATGTTATATTTCTTACTTGTCCAATCCAGCACATTAAATAAGATGGATCAAGGGATTGAGCCATTTTGAAAGCCTCATGAGCTTGCTAGGAAAAAAAGGCAAAAAATATTACAGCAAGTCATTTTATAAACTTATTAAACCGCTTATGTTTAAAAAGCATAAAATAAGTCAAACCTCTCATCATAAATATGTATGAACATAAAATTTCACTGTTTAAGCATAATTAGCAATGCTTAAAGCAGTGTTTTAACTACACAGTTCTGGAACACTCCTGGGTGCAACAGATTTCTCCCCAGGTTAGGAGTTCTGAACCCTAGCAAAAAAGGGTTCTACCTTGTCATCTGCAGAACTTTTAACCAACCAATCATCCATCCATTAGATAGCCATAGGTTTGAAGGCAATGATTAAATAAGGCTATCTATTCCCCTTTTAGCTTAACTGGGAGGATAAGAACTCACAACCAATGAAGTCCTAACCAATGAAGTCCTAGACATGTGTATACCTGCTACCAGAGAAGGAGTGATCAACAACATAATTCTGCATTAAGCAATCAGGAAACTTCAAAAATATCTAATTTGGACACATTAACTTGGATGCTTTTTTTTCTGCTACAAAAAATAACTTTTTATTACATACTGCTTTATACTATTTTCTCAACAATCTATGTATGGCAGGAAACAGTCTTATTTTTCCTATTTTTAAAAAGTAAGCTCATGGGCAAAAACTATCCCATGCTACAATAAAACCACATCCATAGCTTATTAAGACATTGTTTTATTTAAATTAAAAAAAGTTCACGTATTTTAAAATCCAAATTAATATTTTCTTCAATCTATTTACAATTTTCTAAATCCAGTCTTTTTTGCAGGGACTTAATGTATCCTTGAGAATATTGAGAAAGCTTTTTGGGATGAGATTCAATATACCAGCTGAAACACAAAACAGTTCAGACATGGTATTACCTATAGATTTATGGAAACTTTCCAAACATGACCTATAAACATACTCCCAGTCACTTTAGTTCTAATTGCCTAATGTATAATTGCTCAAGTATGACAAATTACACTTGCTATTTAAAGAGATTAATATCTACTAAAGCCAAAATGTAAAGCATCCAAGAAAGGTTAAATTTAAGCTGCTAGAGAGTACTAACTGTCTCCCTTGTGCTCATCCACTCCACCTCCAACACTATCTACATAGGACTTCTCTTACATGTGTACAGATTTAAAAAAATGCTGAATTGATTCAGAATCAAACTGTTTTAATCTCTAAATGAAAAACCAACATAATCACAAAACCAGAAGTTTCTTGAAGGTCATAAAAAGGAAAATAAATCTTACACATTAATTATTCGACATAAATTGAATATCATCAATTAACTAGCATACTGGAGAGCATACTGGCTAGATAACGATGTGCAAAAACATTTCTCCACAAGAAGCTGAGCTATTGAGGAGACAATAATATAGAAAACATTCTTTGTTTTAAATATGACAGACAGGCAACATATTTACCTCAATGTTTTCATTTGTGAGGTATAACACTCCCAAGTTGGTCCATGCAACAGCATTCTAAAAAACATAACATTTTTTTTCTTAAAATAGGCCCCTTGTCTAGTTGAAAGTCTCAGAAAATTAGTAATACTAAATTTTGAAGTTCTTTTTCATAGACACATAGAATACTCACAATTTGTTCTGACTGGATTGATTTGATGAAACAGTGCTGAGCAAGGGCATAATTTCCAATACCTGAAAAATACAAAACCTGATGAAACTGAACTTTGTTTGAAATACACAATCTTCTAAAAATATTGAAGTGTTACTCAATTCTCACCACTGTAACATGCAACCACACCAAGAGCATTCCAGTATAAGTGATTATTACTGTCGAGTCTCACTGCTTTTTTCAGACACTGAAAAGAAGTTAAATTAGATTAATTTTTATTTCTTGGAATAGCAGCATGTATATCAAGATATATGTGGTTTTATGTGAAAACACTATTTACTTCATCCAAAACAACTTCGAGAAAAGCATTATGTTTTTGAAAAGGTTTATAAAAAATTTATTTATACCATACATGTAAAGATTTCTCCAGCAACTCCTTAAGATCATTCATGTTGCTGCCTGTTTCTGCTAGATGTTGTGCTTGGCGATAATAATTAATTCCAAGGTCACACCATGTATTAGATGTAGACATCAGTTTTAATGCACGACCATAACACCTACGGGAATATAAAAGTGAATGTTTTTTGTTACAATGCCTTAATTCAATTCAAATGTTATTAACTGGCAATCTTTGCAAATTACCTTCCTCCAAGGTGGAGGAGCTCATTTTTCTTTAATACTTGTTTTCCTTCTTTCTGACCTAGAAGGACTCCTAAAACATGAACATTCACTTTAGATGGTGCGACAGCATACAGACAGGTACAAGCATCCCCAGCTAGCTTCCAGAGGCAGGACACATCAGCTCGATGCTGTAGAGCACTAAAAAAAGAAACATTGTGATTCTTACAAATTATTTATAAAAAGCATGAAGTTTATCTCCCTGATTATTACTTAAAACAGAAAAACTGTACATTAAGTACTTTACTAGTCTCCTCCTAACTGAATCATATCATATCACCTCCCTAATAGGAAGGGAAGAAGAAAAGGAGAAAGGGAAGGAGGAAGGGATTACTTTAAGTGCCAGAAATTTTGTGGACACTTTTTTTTGTTACTCTTCACCATTTTTATTAGAAGTAGCAGCAATCACGCAAATAAATAAATAAGTTTTCCAGGACCAATTTCCTTTTAATATTAAAATGTTAAAACTATGCTTTTTGTGTTTAAGCAATGACCAAGGCAGTAAAGTTTGTAACTCTCTTACAACTGACAGTTGTAAACTCAGGTTTTTGCTTTTAGATCTTCTCTCATGCTGTGTAGTTTTGACTACATCCCCACAAAGCTCATGAGTTGGGAACTCAATCTCCAGGACAACAATGTTGAGAAGTAGGACCTTTAAGAGGTGATGATGTCATGAGGGCTCTGCCTCCCTAAATGGATTAATACTGTTATTGTAGGAATGGGTTAGTTGTCACAGGAGTCAGCTCCTGATAAAAGGGTAGGTTCAGTCCCATTTTTTTTCTCTTGCATTCTGCCCTTCTGCCATAGGATGACCCTCACCAAGATGCCAGCACCATGCTCCTGGACTTATCAGCCTCCAGAACCAAGTCAAATAAACTTCTGTTCTTTGTAAATTAACCAGTCCATGGTATTCTGTTATGGCAGCAAAAAATTGATGAAGACACCTCAAATAAAATATACCAAATATATTTGGTAAGATCTGAAAGATTTTTGTAAATTTTATTTTTTAATTGGCATAACTATATATATTGATGAGGTACAGAGATGTTTTGATACATATAATGTATTGTGATCAGATCAGGGTAATTAGCATATTAATCATCTCAAACATTTATAATTTCTTTGTGTTAGGAATGTTCACTATCCTCCTTCTAGCTATTTGAAACTATATATTATTGTTAACTACAGTCATCCTACAATGCTACAGAACACTAGAACTTATTCCTCCTATCTAGCGTAATTTTGTGTCCTTTAACAAGTATTACCCATATATCCTTTCCCCCTACCCTTCCCAGCTTCTAGTATCCTCTGTTCTACTTTTTACTTCTATGAGATCAATTTTTTTTTTAGCTTCCACATATGAGTAAGCACATATGGTGGTTAACTTTCTGTTCCTGGCTTATTTCACTTAACATAATGTCCTCCAGTTCTATCCAAATTGCCTTAAATGATAGCATTTCATTCTTTTTTATGGCTGAATAGTATTCCATTGCATATAAATACCACATTTTCTTTATCCATTCATCTGTTGTTGAATATCTAGGTTGATTCCATATCTCGACTATTGTGAATAGTGCTGCAATAAACATGAGGGTACAGATGTCTCTTTGATATAATGATTTTCTTTCCTTTGGATAAGTTCCCAGTGGTGGGGTTGCTGGATCATACGGTAGTTCTATTTGCAGTTTTTTGAGAAAACTCCATACTGTTCTCCACAGTGGCTACACTAGTTTGCATTCCCATAAACCATATAAGAGTTCTCTCTTCTCCACATCCTTGCCAGCCTTTATTTTTTGTCTTTTGAATAACAGACATCCTAACTGGGGTGACATGATACCTTACTGTGGTTTTGATTTGCATTTTCCTGATGATTGGTGATGTTGAACATTAATACCCTGAGACCAAAAAAAAAAAACAAAAATCTAAACATAAAAATCTGAAGAACTACATTTACCGAAACAAGAGCAGACTGAATGAACAAGCTCAAAAAGCAAAGAGAAATATTAATTATGGTGACAGAGGGCAATTCCTTTTAGAATGAGAAAAACTTCAGCTATACATTTTTCTTCATTTTTCTCTTCTCGAGATCTTATAAATAACACATGGCAATTTCATTTAAGCCAAGTCTCAATAATCAGCTATCACAAGCTGCTATGTTACTGGCAGATGGAAAAGCAGATGGAACATTTTTCATAGCCTTTTCTACTCATGGAGTCCAGCCAAAAATAATTTTCCAATGTCTTCCTAAGAAATAATATTAATTATTGTGGTCATAACTAAAAGCCCACTGAGAATCTGAAAGAAGGGCAATATGATTTGGAGTTCCTTTGCCTAAATATCTTAGCAAAATTTCTAAAATTGACAGCAAAAAATGAGAAGAGAGGAAAAAAGTGAAACAGGCGATTTTAAGAGCCTAAATTCTTATTTTGAGTTCAATAAAAATAAAATATCTATAAATTGAAGTAACTTATATCACCCTTACACAATAATTGTGATAGTATTAACGCCTTGTAAGTCTGGAAGTAAATATACATTTGGAGATTATAATTGTTTTATATGCCACCTTCTAATGGGTTATGTTACATGTTATCCAGAATAACATTTCCTAGGCTCAGAGAGGCAGTATTTATAGCTAAGGTACTGTCACCCAAAGGTTCACATTTACTCTTAAATAGCAGTTCAAATAAAGCATGCCCTTTACACAGTAACTTTCCCTTTAGAAAGAACTACATTATGTGAGACTTGAAAAGTAGCAATAAAATTCAGTGAGATAAAAAAGGGTTAGGTTTTCATTTCATATTTGGTTCATATGAAAAGCAATTCTGGAACAACCAATAAATACAAAACAGAGGAGAAACCAAGCAGGAAAAGAGGGGAAGTAGAAGAAAGATGTTTAAGAGTTACAAAAAATTCAAATGTACATCTAACTTGTGGACTTTTGGAAGTCTTCTACCACAGATAACACTTTTTCTGACCTAACCAATGAATTCACAGTTCTATAAAATGCCAAATCTACTCAAAATTTTCTGATTCCTTTCTTGTTATTAGACACATCACTTTTTTCCTTCACAGTTTCTCCTCAGGAGCAATCAGATTGTCATTTCCCCTTACCTTCAAGACCTACTAATAATCCTACAATTGGCTCTTACCACTGAATGTACAGCATATTGAGCACCTGAAGCCCTATTTCCCAATCGGTTCCAATTAAAGATACTCATTTCCAGGCCTACTGAAAGAGAACACTAACACATGGTGTCAGAGCTGCTGTTCCACTAGCAGACTGCTCCTTCCTTCCTATTCTTTCCTATGCATCTAGGATGCCAGCCACTACTAAGAGCAGAAGAAATTATATCTGTTTCCCCAAGTGCAAAATTAATACAACATGTATGTTATAGAATTGGCTTGTCTGTTATTCTTTATGTTTGACATTCTGAGCAATTGCTATATCTAGCAGAATACATAAAATGATCTTCTAAATTTGGCTTCATTTTAATATTACAAAAATAAACAATAAATAATAAGAATAATACGAACCAAGTAAAATATTCCAGTGCTTTTTCTATGTAGTCTACGGCTTTTCCATCAAGATAATCAACTAGAGCTGCTTTTGCCATCATAAGATGGCATTCACCCAAACCTAAAATCAGGTAAGTTTGTCACTGTTATTAAAACATATAAAATAAACACTTAAAATGAACTTCAAATAAAGTTATTGGTGTTATTTTAAAGCACTTTCCAGAAAATAAAACTTAACGGTGTGTTATAAAATTATCTTAAAGCATGATCCTACATTCACTCAATAAGAAATTCAAATGGAAGAATTCTGTTGGAGTAAACATGCACTAGAAGTTATAAAAAAGTTATCTACAGAACCCAAGAATTTCCTTGACTTTGGGCAAGTTACTTACCTGCTAAAACTTTGGCTACAAAAAATGTGGATATTATCTATATGTTACTCTCCATGATATTACTACTTATTAACTATTGTGAAACAAGATATGATCTTTTTATATTAAAATCTGTATAGCAAGCTATACTATAAGAATTAAATGAAATAGTGATTACCTAAAGTTCCTAGTAAAGATTTCTTAAATGTGAGTTCTCCTTCTCTTGAGGAAAGAGTTTTACAAAATTAAAAAAAAAGTTTCAAGCCCTAAGTTATATGTCATATACAATATACTATTTATGTGCTCACTTCAGCAGCACATATACCAAAACCGGAATGATAAAAAGAAGATTAGCATGGCTACTGAGCAAGGATGACACAAAAATTCATAAAGCATTCCTTAAGAAAAACAAACAGAAAAAAAAAACCAGTTTCTTTAAAAAGGAGAAAGAAGGAAATGGAAGAAAGTAAGCATATATAATGAGCTCCCAGCTTTTTTAATACAATCATTACAAATGTAGGTTATATATGGATGGTGGTATTTTATTTTATATTACCAAAAATAACTTAGATAACTACAAAACAATGCAAGTTGTCTCTGAAGTTTAAAAAAAATTTAATGAGCTTGTATAACTTACAAAGTAATTAAAGGTATTAAGATATTCTGGAGACATGATGAATTAATTATCAAAATGTAAGAGTAGGGAAACATGTTTTAGAGATCAATTTTTAGATCTAATAGTTATCATACTGTTTGTCTAAAAGTTAAATCTCTGTCACATTACTATTTATTAACTTGTGAAACAAGATTTGATCTTTTTATATTCAAATTTATATAAGCTATACTGTAAGAGGTTCATATGGATGCTTGCTGTTGACTAAAGAAGTCCTTTTCAAGTTATTCAATACATTTAGGCAGGAAATCTACTCAAGGATTTTATACTTCAGGATCATAAAAGTCAAAGGAGCTACTAAAAATAAATTACCTTTTAAAGCAGGCACATAATCTTCTTTCTTTTTAATGATCATCTGGTATTGAGCTACAGCCTCCTTATATTTGCCTAGGATTTGCTGTATTGCTGCAACCTTAAACACACTGTATATGGATTCTGGGTTCAGCTCACTGGCTTTTGTGAAGGACTTCAAGGCTGTTGTGTAGCCTCCTCTGCTTAAGTATGCTTCTCCTAACGATTCCCAACAATTGAAGTCCTTTGGGTCTGCTCTTAATGCTGCCTGTAAACTAAAATTTAAAAAACCGTAAGAGAACTAAAAGTATGGAACTATCTCCAAATCTGAAAGGAAAATATAAAATAAATAATTCAAGTAAACATATATATCTGTGGCTCCTTCTACTTATAAAAGTGCTATTTAAAGCAGATAAATTTGTTCCTTTTATGATTTTTTTAATGCTAAGAAATGTTATTTTAATTTCAGAATAAGAATAAAATGCTTTTTTTGAAAAAGTGCTGAACAAAATTTCTTTTCCTTGATTATCTTGAAGAACTCGAGTTTTCTATCCTACCAGGACAGGTGTCCATCTCAGTTTGTCACATCAGCCCATAATCCCCCACCAGCAATCCTTTTACCAAACAGAAATACCACAGTTAAAATATGGAAACAATAGGCATGCTTTAAATATCTGATCAAATTCCATTTCCGTGAAAATGCCTGTACTCTAGATACTAACATAAACCAGAAACAATTTTATTTTGATTCAAATACATTTATTTACATTTAAGTACTGTTCAAATCAAATGACTCAAATTGATCATATATGAGCTGCTCCCAATGCCCTTTAAGCTGCCAAATGTCTCCCTTGCCAAAAACAATGTGTGTCAGCAGAACAACAAAGATATGTACCTCAGCTTCTCATCACTAAAATTTCTATTGAGAACTACTATACATATGTATTAAGACTTCAATTCACTAATCTGGCTATCTCCTCAACAACAGGACACCATTTAATCCATCTCTGCAATTCCACTGCCCTGCAAACAATAAACACCAATCAATCATAAAGTAATTTTGTTATTTCTTCTCTCAAAATACAACCTGGTAAGAGACAATTAAAATGCTTAATTTAAGGAACCGTTATGCTTGTCTAACATAGTTTAAATACAATAAGGTGCCTTACTCAGCCACTGCTTGAGAATGCTGACCAGCTTTCAAATAGTATAGTCCTCGCCTAAGCCAGGCCCATTTTGCCGTTCCAGCACTTGCCTTTTGAGTTACTGTTGTTAGGATAGCTAAAGCCATTTCCTAATAATAAGAAAATACTAATATTAGATATATTGAACATTATAAAAAGACAGAACGCTCATGTAAAGTACACAAACATATTTTCATTTCTCACTTCTGATTTTTTAAACTTACACTGGTATACATCAAATTACAGTTTCAACAATAAGTGGTTAGTAATTTAATATCTGCCAATGGAAAAAAACTTCACTTACAGAGGCAAAAATATTTATATTGCACCTATAGAAAAAAAACTAATGATAACTTTCAAGTATACATATATAAAAATATTTTCATTTATATACTCAGGATAAAAAAAACAAAAAGCAAAAGTGATTATTAGACATACCATATCTTCAAGCTCCACACTTAGGTCAACTGCTGCAGCTCCAGATTCAGCATCAGTGTCATCTAATTCAAAGGCTTTCCTATAACATCCACGAGCTCTGTTTTTATCTCCCACTACGTCTCTATAATAATGACCTAAATAGCAGAAAACTTTGCCCATATATGTATCCAGTCTTGCAGCCTTTGAAATAAATATTGATAATAACAGAACATTAAAAGTTCATTTAATGAGTATCTTTACAAATACAGAAGATAAATACACAGATTAAAGAAAAAAGAAATAATTTCATTAAACATACAAAAATATGCCAAAAAATCCTTTGATGTAAGATTTAAAACAGACAGGAAAGCTGTCCCTCACTGCTTATAGAAAGTAAAAGGAAATATAAAAATATTTTGTTTTTTGGTAAAGGAAATGTGAAATTAGAGCTGCTACTGAATTAATCTGCTCTTACAAGTCAAGATAAGAATGTAGGACTTATAGATGTTAAACATCTAAAAAAACAGGAATTTAAACATCTAACTTGTATGCTCATAAAACTACAGTGAAAATTACCTTAAAAGTATTGTTTACAAGAGATAATTATGTCTCGTTTTCTACAACACATGCTTTTCAAAAAGTAACTTTCACATTTTATGTTTTAATTTTTTCCTTGAAAACCCATATAACACCATCACAAAACCTGACATATGAAAGATAAAGCACAAAAAACAGTTCAGTAAAGAGTAATTGTAACTAATGTATATGATTATTATTTATGATTTTATAATGCCATTTCAACTAGGAATTGAATTGTAGCACTTGCTTTACCTTCAGAAAGTGGGTAAGAGCCTTTGTTTTATCTTTTCTTGTCTCTTCACCCATGAACCAGTATGTTAATCCAAGTTGGTAATGATATTCTGCAACTTCGGTATCTTTCTCAAGAGCTCTCTGAAAACTAAGCCACCAAAGGGTAATAAAAAGAAATAGTAAAACAAATACACACACACCCACACGCAATATAGGAGACTCCTAGTTGGAACAATCAAAGTTTGAGTGATTCAGAGGTGCCAAATTAGAAACCAATCATCACTTTAGGATTTATATTATCATAAGGAAAAAAGTGATTTGTTTTTGAAGAAGAGGATCTTAAAAAAGCACAGTGGCCTTTTAGCACTACCATGTGCTAAGTGTTCAGACTATACTGAACATTACATCTGCTTAGTGAACATTATGATCAGCTGATTAGATTTTTTTTTTTATTTTTTGAGTCCGAGTCTTGCTCTGTCATCCAGGCTGGAGTACAGTGGAATGGTCCTGGCTCACTGCAACCTCCACCCCCCAGGTTCAAGCAATTCTCGTGCCTCAGCCTCCTGAGAAGCAGGGACTACAGGCATGTGCCACCACGCCCAGCTACTTTTTGTATTTTTAGTAGAGATGGGGTTTCATCGTGTTGCCCAGGCTGGTCTTGAATTCCTGCGCTCAAGAGATCACCTGCCTTGGCCTCCCAAAGTACTGAGATTACAGGTGTGAGCCACCACGCCCGGCCAAGATCAGCTAATTAGATTTGAAACCCATCATATAATTTTTTATAGCTACTGTACTACATGCTAAATACATTTCTTTAAAATACTAAAACTTAAAGCCTACAAAGATCAAATTCATGAAAAATCAAATCTTCATCAAGCCTACTCATTTTGAATTTTTCAGAAATATAAAGAACTAAGATGTAAATGGTTCTATGAGCAATTTATATATCCTTACCATTTTTCTGCTTGTAGATAGTCCTTTTTGGTGAAATGAATCAAAGCCTCAAGGGCATGAACTTCAGCTAGGTCAGGGTAAGAAGAGAGAAGGTCTTCCATAATCTATAAAGTAGACACCTGTCAATTCTATAGCCAAATAAAAATGCTTTTAACTCAAAAAATGCTCAGTTTGAATAAAAAAGCCAACCTTTGCAGCTTCATCAAATGAACCTTTGTTCCGATAGGCCAAGCTTTTGAGAACCAAAAGTCCTGGGATATTATCTGCATCAGAAATCTAGAAAATAATTGTAAAGAACTGCTATAAATCTCCTTCAACACAACCACAGCAATGTTTGCTTTAATTAACGAACGAACACAGAAAAGCATGGTCCTAATAGAATAAAGAAATAGAGGTCCTGATTTCTATCACTAATAACACATCTTCACTCTTCATAACCTTTTTATTAAGGAAAATCTCATATACATAAAAAAATTACAGAAACTAGTATAATAAACCCACATGTACCCATCATCCAGCTACAAAACCACAAACTCACAAGCAATCATTTTTTTCATCTATACCTCCACTAATTTTACCACACTTCTGCTCAGATGATTTTGACACAAATCCCAGATATTGTAACTTTTTACCTGTAATACTTCAGTATCTATATCTAAAAGTTCATTTCTAAGTTGCATAACCACATTACCATTATCATACCTAAACAAAAACAACATCCTTAACACTATCAAATTTCTCAGTTGTCTCATATTTTAACAATTTTAAAAATCAAAATCTAAATAAGACACATACATTTGAACTTAATGATAATGCCTTGTCTCTTTTAATCAATAAGGTCCCCCTCCTTCTCTTTTTTTTTTCTTCCTTACAATTTAACTGTTGAAAAATATGGCCTATTTGTCACAGTTTCTCAGAGTCTGGATTTTGCTAAACGTATTCTCAAGGTGTTTAACATGTTCCTTGGTTCCCTGTATTTTCTGTATATTAGTAGTTGGGTTCAGAGGTTTGAAGATTCCCAAGGATACTTCAGGTCTTCAGGTGTATTTGCACTTGGTTGTGTCTGACTGTCTTTTTTTTTTTGTTTTTTGGAGAGACAAGAGTCTCGCTTCGATGCCCAGGCTAGAGTGCAATGGTCTGATCTTGACTCACTGCAACCTCTGCTTTCTGGCTTCAAGCGATTCTCCTGCCTCAGCCTCCCAAGTAGCTGGGATTACAGGTGCATACCACCAAGCCAGACTAATTTTTCTATTTTTAGTAGAGACAGAGTTTCACCATATTGGCTGGTCTCAAACTCCTGACCTCAAGTGATCCACCTGCCTCGGCCTCCCAAAGTGTTAGAGGCATGAGCCACTGTGCCCAGCCTGATTGCCTTTGTGTGATGTTAGTAGCCATTAACCCTTGATGCCTAGATCTATTAATTCACTGGGGATTGCAAAATGGTGATTTTCTGTCATTTTCTCTTATTAGACAGAATACTTCAACAAAGGCAAATTTCTCCTACCTTCGTTATTTCATTATCCTGAGGAATGATTCAGATAAAGGCAGGATAAATGCCTTTATTCTTCATAGTTGGGTTCTTAGCATCCCCCCAAACATTTGTTTTCTTGAGGACATTTGCTGAGTTTTCTGAATCATCATGAACACATGGATTTAAAATATTTGATCTGTTTCAACATACCACATTAGTAACGCCCTTTTTAGCCAGTAAGAATCTCTTTATGCTAGCTCTTGAGCCCTTTTGTAGTCTGAGCCCTTTTATAGTTTCTTGCTTTCTAGCATGACAAGGTGTTCTTGGTTCATCTTGTACATTTTCTATCTCAGACCTGGACTCTGCTAGTTCTCCAAAATAGCAGTCATTTGTTTTTTTGTGAAAACATTATTTGAAAAACCTTTATAAAGCATTCACACAAAACACATTATTGGTGGGATGGCAAAAAGAAAACAAGAAAATATTAATTGTTGAAAGATGCTGACAACGGTTCTGATTTTAAAGAAATATTATGAAATACAAAGCCCTTTGAAATACATAAAACTGATTTAAAAACTCAATTTTAATTTAGACCAGTAATAGTCTTTACCTGACAAAAATCTTTAGGGCATAATGCTATAATTCATAATTTACCAGTTATAGTTTTTTTCACTATGGACTTTCAAATTGCTTTAACTCAAAACACTAAGAAATCGGTTTCATTATGAAATATGAATCTTTCTTTGAATGAAACAAATAAACATTCTCTACCATGAAGCTAACAGTGTCCTTAATTATTCTTGTCAAATCTGCAGAACACTTCCTGAAGGAAAAAATTTGGAATCTCAAATTAATAATAATCAAGTAGTAATAACCTAAGAGGGCAAAAGGAAGAAACGAGAATGAAGTCTAGAACTAACGAAATAGTCTTATATGATGAGTACTATAAGTCCTTAATCAAAAAGCAAACAAATAACTTTAGAAGTTCCCAAATGTATGAATGACTTATAAAAGTGCAGATGTGGTGAATTCATACCTCTAACACAAAATCCATATAAGTAAATTTTGTGGTAGGCAGAGAATGGTTGTTGCCTGGTTGATTGGAAACTAACTAGAGTTGAAGAAAAAAACTTGACAAGTCTACCTGATCAAGCGTACGAATTGCTTCCTCTGAAGAGTCATAATCTGAGAGTTTAATCAAAGCCTCTGCTTTCAAATGAAGACAAAGATTCCTCTGATAAAGACTGTTACCAGACGCACCAAGATTATCTACGATCTTCAGAGCTGACAAAATTAAGGGTATCCAAATGAAGACAGCCATATCACTTCTGTTTATTTTTTCTTTTTTAAGGATGACATATAATAAATTGCAGATACAATAAGCATAAATTTCCAAAACAATATACATGAAGAATAACTCAAAGCTAAATATAAATTCTTCCCTGACTTCCTTATGGAAAGACCTGAATTTAAAACAGAACATATCTGAATTTAAAACCTCTATCTTCACACAACATATAATAAAACTGAATATCCTAAAAAACGACAATGGCTATCTATATTTGCTAAACAATAAAGGTTAGCCCACAACCAAAGCACCTGTAACAAATATAAGAAATTAAGGATACTGGAAGGGGAAAGCAGCTGAATTAGAATGGACCAAGGTGAACTGTTTCTTAGTTACAGGGAGCAAGCTACCAGGTGGGTCAGAAACAGTGAACCACTTTCATGATTTCCTATCCCCACCCCTCACCCTGTCACATTCAAATAGGCTCCAAGATGCCTAAGGTTTCCCCTCTCTATATGAGAGAAATTAAGAACTCATGTGTCTTGGACACACCAGAAACTTCCTTGTTACAAAGACAGAGGACCTCCACACCCAAGCCTAAACTGACTATGTCAATATTCCAAATGCAGGAAAATTTTGCTAAACATTCATTGTCAGTTTAAAAATAAACACACTAGTACACATGCATGCAGACTTTTATTTAAACTTATTGAAATTAAAATTAGCAATTTAAAATACAAAATATAGCATTTTGGTTTTTAAAAATCACTATCTTTGTCCTTTAAGATAAAAACAAATAGGGTTGGTCACCCTTATATGTCAACCCAAAAAGTATCAAAAATACCTTGACTGCATGAAAGAACAGCTTCTTTAGGTCTATGCATTTTGACTTGGGCTTCTGCCAGATGATACCATCCACTTGTGCAGACAGGGCTTTCCTTTAACCCTAAAAGGATAAAAACAATCACAAAAAACAAGGTTTCTGTGACTACATAGATGAACAGCACCAATGCCTACTCTCCAAATCAGACTCCTCCCCTCTTCATCTCTCATATCTCATCAGTCACAAAGTCACACTGATTCTCTGCCTCAATTCATTCCCCACCATACATTTTTCTCCATCTCCACGTCAGTTCAGACCTCCACCATCTTTATCCCAAATCACTACAAGTGCTTGCCATCCACCCCAATGCATTCTTTACACTGTAGCTAGAATATCTCTAAAAAGACAAATCAGATTATAAAATTCCCCTGCTAAAAATCTTTTACTGATTCCCCACTGTTGTCAGGATACTGTGCAAACTCCTTACCAAGTCTTGCTAGGCCCTTCTACAATCTCACTTCTTGTCCCCTCCTGTACATACACTTCATTCTCAAACCCTGGTGAACTACCTGCAGTTCTCTGAACAACAGTTTTCCTCTTAGCTCAGGCTATTTCACAGATTCATCTCTGCCTAAAATGTTCTTCCCATTCCCTTCAACCACCTACCTGGCTTGTATTTACCATTCAGATCTATAATTTGAATGTAGGTTCTTCCAGAAACATCATACCTAGTAAGACTAAGTTAAAGCCTAAGTTCCTAATGCATATATATCTACATGTCTGCCTTCCTCCCTCCCTCCCTCCCTCCCTCTCCCTCCCAATTTACTTTTTGCTTTGCTTTCTTTCTTTTCTTTTTTCTCTCTTTCTATATAGATATACCTATTTTACAAATGAAAACACTGACACACAGTAAGTTTAACTCTTCTGAGGTCTTGAAATTAGTGATAAGCAGAGTCAGAGTTCAAACCTAAGCAGAGTCCAAGGTATGCAGGTACATTTTTTCCCTTCCACCTTAGATAGACATTCCTTAAAGAAAGGCTCAAAGATAAATGCCTACTGACTGAATAATAATTATACTTCACGTTACATGCCATACACTGTACATTTACCTTCTGTTAGGTTCCTAACAGCATCTTCATACTTTTTGTCTTGTAATGCTTTAATGCCTAAGCCAATGAGGCCTGGACCACTTTTTGAATCCATTTCCACTAATCTACAACAATACTGCTGCCCCTCATCAGTAAGATTTCCTGGAATTAAAAGGAAAGGTTATTAGTATACATATATCGAGTTTCTAAATGCCCAAACCCATATTCTTAAATCTCAAAATCTGCCTTTATATTCTTATGCATTCTTCACCACATGCTGACTCCAGAAATTCAAAATTTAAATAGACCAGCAAATGCAGAAAATATTAACATTTAATTTAAATAATTATGATTTTTCATCTTCTTAAATACTGGAAGTAGAAACCACTTTAGGATTTCAGACAAGAAACCTGCTACTTGCCAGTAGACTAAGCCACATAGCCTACTGCTTGCCAGCTGTAACAATTTGGTTGTCAAATGAAGGAGCCCTTGTCAAAGCAGAGTGTCTTCCTCAAGTTCTCTTCCTGGGCAACCATGCGCTGCTAGAGACATGTTAGTCAGATCCAGCAGACTCTTCCAGCATCCAAGGATCACAAGATAGGCGGGTTACTCATCAGGACACTGCACAAAGACTTAGTCACATTCCTCTTAAGTCTACAAATTTACCAGTACATTTCCACATTTTTCTAAAACTATCTTTTTCTATATAAGTGAATTGTGACACTTATGAGATAGTCATCCAATGCCTACATTTATTTTATTTTCAAATTTATTTTGGTAAAATAGTTTAGAAAACATTATATATTTTGTAATATTTCCATTTTCCCCAATCTCAATCCCACAAAAGCATCAAAACAAACAAAAAATTGTAATTTCTGTTTTAGAATAAATTGTGAATAGCATTCACAAGTTTAATAAATCATTTAATCACATAGGAGAATTCTTAAAAAGACAAACTACAACTTGAAGCAATAAATATGGGAAACAAAAAAAATTCCTGAAAAAAAAAGACCCGATGCTTTAATAACTATATAAAACATAGAAGCCCAAACCACATGTAGAACCACTGTTTCAGTTACAGATGTCAAAGGTAAATTATTTGCATAATACCATGTAGCTCATATATTTCAAATTTTAAAAACCATTTGCAAACCAATGTATAATCCATTAGTAATATGTAGTAATATGTTATATACTGATTTAGAAATCCAAGTTGGCACCAAAAATGAAAAGAATTAATAATGGCTAAAGAGTTAAAACTTCAGTATATTTGGCAAAATATGAAAACAAATTGGAAGAAATACTACTTTGATTAGTAAGCCAGTGAAAAAGACACAAGCCTGCTACTATTATGCTTCCAGGCATGAACTTCCTTGTCAATATTTTCTCACCATAGCTTCCATAAATATGAATTCCAAAAATAGATATGTCTAGTTCCATACACCCTATACCCTCCCAAGAAAACTAGCAGCTTTTTCCCTTTTGATCCAGTGGTATTGTCTAAACTAGACATTGTCTGCACTATCAGAATCACTTGGAAGACTTGTTAAAACACAGTCTGCTGAGCCCTATCCCTGAAGTTTATGGTTCAGTAGGTCTGTTTAAGACCTAAGAATTTGCATTTCTAAGAAGTTACCAGGTGATGCTGATGCTACTGGTCCAGATATCATACTTAAAGACCACAGGTCTACAATATTTGCTAATACCATATATGACCTTTACTATTAGTCTTATAACATGTATATTCTGCCCTTATTGCCTCTGTGGCTAAATGGTAACCTCTGGAGAGTACAGACCAGCATGGCATCTGATATGTGGTAGGTGTTCATTAAATCTTGTGACGATCCTTTAAAAATACCATTATGAACTGATATTCAAAAAGGCTTAGTCTGTTAATAGGTAACAGCTGAAAATTACTACAAAAAATTAAAAATCTTCACCATCCTAAAAAAAAATAGCTACCAAACTCTTATCTTTTATCTCTACCCATCTCAGTCTAAACACCCTGCCTCCATAGAAACATAATTTATGACAGACTACCTTGACTACATAAACTGCCTGTATTACAGGAAATATACCTGGGATGAAAATAGTTAAGAAAAATCATGCATCTCTCCAGTGAACATCCATATTTAGGGTAGCTTAAACAACACACAGGTAATCAAAGTGTGGGTTGGTACACGAAAATAGTTTCCAAAAGGCTGAGATGAACATAAACGACTTTTAAAACAAGGTAAACCTTCCTAACATATTTCCTTTGCTAAAGCCTGGGAGCATAACAATAAAAACAAAATAAGATCTGGGGAGACTATGTTCATGTTCGGCCCTGGGTAACAATTCTCTGCATATGACCAAGCGGCACTGAGAGGAATTTTCTATAGTGTTCCCAAAACTAGCAACAGTAATAACAACACTAATGATCCTTGTATAAAGAGACAAGGAATATTTCAGCTTCAACTATCAATCCTTCTCTTATTCATACTTATTCTTGTTGAGAATACTAGCTAAATAAATACCTTGGTGGAGGACAAAAACAGAGGAAATAGAATTCATTGCTTTTGAATCTTATTCATTGCAAATGAATAGAAAATCATTTACTTAACTGCTCTTTTTAACATTTAAAGGATTCTAAGGTTCCACATTTAACAACTTTAAAACAGTTAGACAATATTATTTTTATTTCTCAAAAACGCAAGCCAGATTTGGGGCTGATGAATGCTCAAATTCCAAGGGTAGAGGGTATTCTGAAGAGGTCCGTGTTGGATGCTGAGTAATAACTATGAAATTCTGTTTCTTAAAGTTTACTACAAAAAGTCGGTTTTTAAAAAATTAATTTCTGACATCCCAAAAAAAGCTGATCAATACTATCTAATTTTTCTTTTAAATAAACTTAGCTTGAGGGGGGAAAAAAACCATGTACAATTTGGTGGCATTCATATTTATCTTCACCTGGATTTTCTAATAGTTTTAAAGCAGAAAATCTTAATCCAGCTCTTTTCTGCTTGAATTTGAAGAACCAAGCTTTTTTATCCTCCCCCATTTCAGTAACAAAGCAAAATAAGATAAATAAAAAAGTCATTTAGCATGAAAAAAAATTTCAACAGATGACAACTGTGAAAGCCATTCACTACTTGTTACATGAAGCTTTATAAACTGAGTCATTTTGAAAATGAATTTTCAATTCTCAACAGGCAAAGCAGGACAAAGGAGAATGAAATACATTTGTTCTCAGTGGAGGAGAACCCAGTGATTAACTGCTGTGAAGTAGCAAATTCTGTACATACTGAAGTACTTTGTGGGAGGGCGGCTCAGACTTCAGAGACCTTACAGATTCTCAGAAGTTCTCAATACACTGAAAGTCGGGTTTAGAGGAGCAGTAAAAAGAAAAAAGCACAGATTCCTATTGTCCTACATTAACTATTGAACTTCCACCTCAAGAATACTACTTTAACTTGAAATGTACCCAAACCTGAATTTCTCAGTTCCACAAATTCCTGCAACCAACAATTCAGAAGGGAAAGAACTCTTCCCTGATTTTACCATATCTGTAAATATCCACATATACACTCTTTTTGCTGTGATATAGACCTTCTTTTCTTTCCATTCTACATAATACAAATCCAGAACCTTACTCAAAAATGATTTTTTTCATTTAAACCAAGACACTTTCTAATCAATCAGTATAATCCCTTCACTATGTCTTTATCAGAGCACTTTGTCAACCACTGAATTTATGTGCAAAACTCTGTAGACTATTGTTGATCCTATTTTTTTCTATTATTTTGTAGGCTTTTTAGAATATAAGGACAAGTCTACATTATAGGTACATTTATGCTTATTGAGAAAGCATTCTGTCAGTCCTCAAAAAGAATTTTCAAAGTATTCACTGTGTCATTTGGCATGTGAGCAAGGCCAAGGCTGAGGTAATGGTGAAAACCATAAATAGCTGAATAGGAAATAAAGAGAAAAGAGTGAACACCAGCCATTAATTTTTCAATAACAACAGTAACAGCAGAATAGGGAAAAAGAATTGGTACCAGGGGCCATACAATAAAGAAAATCAGCCTACTTATCTTTGGAACACACTGAGTCTTATATTAAAATTGGAAGGATCTGGGTGATTTTAGAACTCAGCTTCCTATCAGGAAAAAAAAAAAAAAATCACAAGACTTCCTAAGTATGCTCCTTGTGCTTGATGTACCTCATCCTCCTCAGCCTCAGTGCAACACTCTCATAATGTTAACTATCTCACCTACTAACTATTTCTTCTTACACCACTCCTGCCAGGCAGCTATTGCAGTTCTTCTCCCACCCCTCTAAAAGCTTACTATCCCCTCTGCGGGCTTCACTTTCTCATCCTACTACTCCCTAATGCACTTAGTCCACTTTCCTTTGTATACCTGCTTTTTCCTATTCTTTCCCCATCACTGTAATCTAAGCTCTAATTCAATCACTTTCATTTAAAAAGATAGCCTTAATAAAAAGCCTCACAATCATAAACTCAGTTGGCTCAATCTGTCAAGACAGACCATAATAATCTCACTTCTGAAATGCTCTTTCCCTGTCGTCTTGTGTTGCTTCTCGTCAGAGTCCACCTTCTTCTCTGACCTCATCCCTTCTCTTCCTTCACTTACTCCCTTTCTCTTTTTCATCTCTTTCCCTCCAAGCCAGCCAGCACTGCCCAAAGTACAGTTCTCAGTATTTTTCCCTTTAGTCCTCCTCTGATGGTAACCATTCCACGTCATTTTCACCTACATGCAAATGACTTCCAAACCATATGTCTACGCTTAGTATTGATCTCTCATCTGCAAACCACTGATGGGCATTTCTCATTAACTGCCCCATTAACATCTCCTCTCAATAACCTACATTTCATACAAATCATCATGCCATATTGGGCCAACTTTTCAGGAGAGGTGAAAGTTAAAATTGATTTTTGTCTCTCCGTCTAAGAAATCACTTTCATTTTTTCATTCATCTGTTCCTTTCTATCTTCACTATCATACTCCTCGTTCATTCAAACCTACTGTCACCTAGTGTACTGGAGCTAGTCCACCTTCTATACAATCTGTCCTGCACACCATGTTAGTTTAAGACTTTATACTCCACTCACTATACTTTTTATGTTCTCTTTCTTCTTATGGTAGTAAAAAGTACTCTCCTAAGTCTATCTTTGACTCAGTTAAAGTAAGGCAAAGGGCATCTGCTTCTACCAAAACCAGAGCTGAAGGTAACAGCAATTTTTTTTTTTTTTTTTTTTTTTTGAGGAGTCTCGCTCTTTCGCCCAGGCCGGAGTGCAGTGGCGCTATCTCGGCTCACTGCAACCTCCGCCTCCCGGGTTCACGCGATTCTCCTGCCTCAGCCTCCTGAGTAGCTGGGATTACAGGCGCCCGCCACCGCGCCCGGCTAATTTTTTGTATTTTTAGTAGAGACGCGGTTTCACCGTGTTAGCCAGGATGGTCTCGATCTCCTGACCTCGTGATCCGCCTGCCTCGGCCTCCCAAAGTGCTGGGATTACAGGTGTGAGCCACCGCGCCCGGCCAGTAACAGCATTTTTTAATTCAGACACCAGGAAAAAAAAAAAAGTAAAAGAGGACTTTAAAGGAGAGTTAAAATGAGGAGAACTGAGATAGGTGCAATGGTCATTTTCTACCAAGGAATTTTCCTTCACAGTTATCTTTAGCAGTAGTTTTCAACCCTTTTTTCACTATGACACATGTGAGGGTCATTCACATACAAAGCATTCTCATGTATATACTCATTTAGCAACAAAGTGAAAAAAATTAAATGGATTAGTAAAGCTCCACAATAATTGACAATCACTACCACACTGGTGTACGTACTAATATTTCTATTTCAGTGACTGACTTCTGTGAATTTGTTCACCTCAAGAGAGTAGGGCATGAAATTCAGGTTATTAAAAAAAAAAATCTATTCAGCACAGATACTGACCAAAAGGAAAGAGGCTGGTGGAAAAACCAATACAGCCAACCTCTTGTTAACTGGTGGAATACCAGCCCTGGACACAAGACTTCCACAGCTACAGGTTACCCAACTCCCAGCAAGCTAGTTGTCATCAGTTCTCTCTTCCTCCCAAACAAAGTACATGAAGATACAAGAGCATGAAGCATACACAGAGACAAATTCTCCCATTTGAATATGCTCTATTTCATTAAAAAAGGAGATTCAGGAATTTAATTACTTTATAATATTACAGTATTCATAACAGTGTTCTTATGACACTGTGACATAACATCAACACTGAGGCAGCTAAACTTTCCAAAAATCCTTTCTGTGATATTCATAGCTCTGTGTAATATAGCCTGACCTATTTAGCCAAAATATATCTTAGTTATTTCTTCCACTATAACAAGCAAACCTATTTTACCATTCCTAAAAAATGCACCTAGCTCCACATCTCTGCTCATGCCAGCTGGAATATATTTCACCTACTCCTGTTTACCTAGTTTCTATAAAAAATTCAAGACCCCCTCCAATTTCCACCATTAAAAAGATTTCACTGACTAACAATAAATCTGGCAACTCATAATTCTTCTGTATTACTGTACTTTCCTATATTTATTAGTCTTTTCATATACACAAAGACTACACATTATACTTCTTTTTATGTCCAGAAACACAGAAACAACACCTTAAACATGGTAGACACTAAAACATTTTTTGATTAATAACATCACTCACATAATCACACACCTCTAGGACACACACTATAATAAGGAAGAAATTACCTGATTCAATTAAATGCAAACAAAGCACTTCTAATGGATACTGTACAGTAGGATAGATGTTTATCATTCCTTCACAGGCCTTCTTCAATCTAGCAGACTCATGAGGAAACTTGAAAATATAAAAGCAAAATACACTACATTCTAGTAGTAGTAAAATGTATTTATGAACACTTTCCTAATTAGAAATACATACAAGTCACATTAGAGATTTAAAAAATCAACTTACTTTGGATAAACTCTGAATGAAATGCCTATAAAGTACTTGGTGATCTTCACTAGGAATCTTATCTGATAATCCCAGTGCATTCTCAAAAGCAGTAAAAAGCTGAAACAAATAAAAAAGCTATCATCTGTATCATACTTAAATGACAAATGATTAAATGTATAAGACTCTCTTACACAAACTACACGTTCAATTAACTGCAAATGTATTCTACAGTCTAACCCTGACAACTTCAACGAGGAAAAAAATGTACATGTAAGTTTTGGAATGCATTCTAACTCCAACTGGCCAGCAAACTGCACTCAACTGGTAAGTAACAACTATACATTAACAACATTAATTTAACAAAACGCACTTCCAAGTGCCTGCTGTCTCCTACAAAGTAGTCAACCAGAGTATAGTCTTATATGCTAGTATAGCTGCTACTGCTCACATATCATTTTTAAAACAATTCTGAAATCACTAGCACGTTCTTTGAAGTATCTTCAATGATAGCAAATCTTCAACCTTTAAAAAGCAGTTATAAAGTTGGGTGATACTTTTGGTAAAAGAAAAGCAGAGATATGACTGAACTGTTATGAAATCACTTCTCTTATGCAGTATTAGCTGACTCTGAAGAACATTCCATCACTTCTCTTATGCAGTATTAACTGGCTTTGAAGGCCAACAGGCCTTCTAAATATGTCTGGAATAAGAACAGCAATACTAGAATCCAAGGCAAGTGGTATAAAGCACTTCATACCACTCAGCTGGCTACACGTTCTGCATTTTAAAATGAATACTCATGACTTAATACCAAAAAGCCATAATGTAATTCAATATCTCAAATTTTCTTTGGAAAGTATGGTATAAAGTCTATGTAAATAAGTAAAATTTTGCTGCCCTGATAAAGTTAACAATCTTACAAAGAAGGAACATACCTCAAAACAGTCTAGCATAAAAGATTTTTAAAAACAGTAATAAAATTATTCCAAATGAAAAATCTGTAATACATTTTTTTCTAAATACTCAGTATTCAAGGTAGGTAACAATAAATCCCCTCATCCTTTTATCTATTACTAACAGTTAGAAATCGATTCTTAAAATCTTAAGTACAATTAATTCTCTGTCATGGAGGAGGGTGGGATAGACCATCCAAAAAGTTATTTTACTTATTTTGAAATGTGTTTGATATTCTGGTAACCTACATTATTTTAAGGAAAATAATAAAGTTATATTATGATATTATACAATTTAAGAGAAACTGCTAAGCTACCTAATTTTGTCACTGCTCAATTTTTTCCACAATTGAATCTATGCACAGATAAATCATGTTATCACACACAAAAAAGAAATCTTATTCTCACATTTTTATCCCCAGCTCTTAGGACCCTGCCTGACACATAATAGGTAGTCAATAAATATTTTCTGAATAAACAAATTAATGAGTGAACAAATGAACACATGAACAAATGAACAAATGAACACAAAGAAATGAACTTCCTATCCTATATAGAGTCTATATTTGTTTATTTAAAAATTCCACTCAATTTAACAAGTGTACATTAAGTAGCTATTTACTATAATAAGACATTAAGTTGACTTTTAAAGTTACAAATAAAAAAAGGAGAATGATAGACATATTTTCCAAATGTGGTTCAAAACCAATTATTTTTTAGTCTTACAAAAATTCTCTTCAATTACTTTAAAATCTGCACCATAAAGACTTTTTTTCTAGGTGAAAAATACTAAATATAAATATACTAAATACTAAATTTACTCTAAATACTAAATATAAATACTCTAAACAGTGGAATTGTTAAACCTCAAAGTAATTCAGTACTCTTAGTTCAGAAGTGTAAAGAAACACACCTTTAAAAGTATAACTTCTTAGACACCATAAGCAGTTTTGTGAAAGCCAATTCAGTTTCTTTTTTACAGTGATTAAGTTACTGATGTATTGCAGATTCTTATGAACACAAGAGAATGAAATTCTGATACCATGAGTACCAATTCCACTCCATCCAGACTCCGTATGAGACTACAGGCCAATAATTCTGACTTTATCTAGAAGAGCCTCTGTGAATTTAAAATTGTACATTTACAAAACACCTAGTCTAACATACAATCCTTTTTTTTTGAGCATCCATTGAATTATCATTGAATGTCCTATTTCCAATGTAATTCATGGACTAATATCCAGAATCAATAAGGAGCTTAAACAAATTAGCAAGAAAAAAAAACAACAATCCCATCAAAAAGTTGGCTAAGGACATGAACAGAAAATTCTCAAAAGAAGATATACAAATGGCTGACAAACATGAAAAAATGCTCAACATCACTAATGATCAGGGAAATGCAAATCAAAACCACAATGCAATACCACCTTACTCCTGCAAGAATGACCATAATCAAAAAATAAAAAAAATAGATGTTGGTGTGGATGTGGTAAAAAGGAAACACTTCTACACTGCTGGTGGGAGTGTAAACTAGTACAACCATTATGGAAAACAGTGCGGAGACTCCTTAAAGAACTAAAAGTAGGCTGGGCTCAGTGGCTCACGCCTGTAATCCCAACACTTTGGGGGGCTGAAGTGGGCGGGTCACTTGAGGTCAGGAGTTTGAGATCAGCCTGGCCAACATGGTGAAACCCCATCTATACTGAAAATACAAAAATTAGCCAGGCATCGTGGCACATGCCTGTAATCCCAGCTACTTGTGAGGCTGAGGCAGGAGAATTGCTTGAACCTAGGAGGCAGAGGTTGCAGTGAGCCGAGATTGCACCACTGCACTCCAGCCTGGGCAACAGAGTGACACTCTGCCTCAAAAAAAAAAAAAAAGAACTAAAAGTAGAACTACGATTTGATCCAGTAATCCCTCTACTAGGTATCTACCCAGAGGAAAAGAAGTCATTATACAAAAAAGATACTTGCACATGCATGTTTATAGCGGCACAAGTCACAACTGCAAAAATACAGAACTAGCCCAAATGCCCATCAATCAATGAGTGGATAAAGAAATTGTGATATATATACATATAGATAGACACAGACACACACATACACACACAATGGAATACTACTCAGCTATAAAAAGGAATGAATTAATAGCATTCGCAGCAACCTGGATGGAACTGGAGACTATTATTCTAAGTGAAGTAACTCAGGAATGATAAACCAAACATCGTATGTTCTCACTCATACGTGAACATATGATAAGAACATTGTATGTTCTCACTCTAAGCTATGAGGACACAAAGGCATAAGAATAATACAATGGACTTCGGGGACTTGGGGGAAGGTGAGGGACAAAAGACTATAAATTGGGTTCAGTGTACACTACTCGGGTGATGGGTGCACCAAAATCTCACAAATCACTACTAAAGAACTTACTCGTGACCAAATACCACCTGTTCCTCAAAAACTTATGAAAATTAAAAATTAAAAAAAAAACTCCATAAAAAGAAACAAACCCAATAAAAAATGAGCAAAGATCTGAACACACACTTCACCAAAGAAAATATACAGGTGCAAATGAACACATGAAAAGATGTTCAACATTACTATGGAAATGGAAATTAAAATGACAATGATCAATTATGTTTCCATTTTCTAAATTCAATTAAATGATCAATTTTCATGAACAAACTTGAGGAATAAATGAGTCAATACCAATTGCTGAGTTTCATTATTCTGGTCCTCTGTACTTTCAGCCAGGAACTGAGTCAATTTTCTCCATAGTTGATGAAGCTCTTCATTTTCTGCACCTTGTTCCTGCCGTGTTTTTATCAACTTGTGCCATGTTCGAGCCACCTATTAAAGAAGGAGATTTTAAATTATTTTGTCCAAAATGTAAAAATGCCAATAAAAATGTAAAATCTGCAAATAAAAACATTTTTAATTTGTTAATATATAAAAATAGCAAAAGCATAGAACCCCATCTATTTTATTTTATTTTATTTTTTTGAGACGGAGTTTTGCTCTTGTTTCCCAGGCTGGAATGCAATGGCACAATCTCGGCTTACCACAACATCTGCCTCCTGGGTTGAAGCAATTCTCCTGCCTCAGCCTCCTGAGTAGCTGGTATTACAGGCATGCGCCACCATGCCCAGCTAATTTTGTATTTTTAGTAGAGACAGGGTTTCTCCATGTTGGTCTGGCTGGTCTCGAACTCCCGACCTCAGGTGATCTGCCTGCCTCAGCCTCCCAAAGTGCTGGGATTACAGGTGTGAGTCACCGCGCCCAGCCCATCTATTATTAAAAGAAGTCAGAAAATCATTCACCAACCTCTAGGTGTTTCTTTTCTTGGTAATATAGATCCACAAGTTTCTTGCAGACATCACACCACTTCTGCTTGTCAACACTTAGAACAAAACAAAACACACACACACAAAAGGATTTTGAATCTGATTAATAAAAATAACCAAGGACTTAAAACACTAAAATTTAAGTATTCCAATAATAATTTCAGGTACTATTTTAAATTAGAACATATCTTCTTTCATACTACAGTAAAATTTTCTAAAATGAGCTCCTCATAAAAAAGAAAAGGTTTAAGAAATATTATCTTCTATTATATTGACTGAAAATAATGTCAAAGTTCCAAAATTAGTCAATCCTCTTACTAGTAGTGTTTTGATTCTATTTTAATCACAAAAGATTCTACGACAAATGTTTGAAAAAAAAAAAAAGCTTCGCAATTCCCAGTAAATGCTGGAATACTTCTACATGATTTTTAATCAGTTTATTAAAATTCAAGCTTTGAAAGAAACTGGACTTTCCTCATACATTTCTTACCTCTCATAAAGATCCAGGAGCTTTTGGTAAACACCAGGCAAGTCATCCTTAGCATTTATGTGATTATATTTCTCATACAAGTTTGCTAACCCCTAAAAGAAGAAGTACTCATGATTATTCTTTTTCCTAAAACATTTGCTGTTCTCACATTCATTTATTTTGCTAAATAATATGATAATCTATAAAGATTATTTCTGAAAAAGGATTATTATAATTTACAAATGAAATGATCTGTCTGAGATTTGCCTCTAAATATAATAGCTGGGGGTCGGAGGGCACAGGTAAAGTGGATATTGTTGAGTATGGGTGACAGGAATAAAGAGGTATATCATTCCCTTTTCTTTCGAAAATTCATTAGAAGTGCTTCACAATAATAAACACTTTTAATGGCTATTCTACAATCTTACCATCTAAGATTACTATATGACATTATTTTTTTCAATTTCAGCATGTGATCTAAAGTATTTTATTGTGATATCATTGACATATAAAAATTGTATGTTTTTAAGGTGTACAACTTGATGTTTTGATATATGTATTCACTGTGAAATGACCACCATAATCAAGCTAACTAACATAACCATGCTACGTAGTTACCACTGGTGGCGGGGGAGGCAGGGGAGAGGTGAGAAGATTTAATTTTAAGATCTATGTGACACTACCTTTATGATATGATCAAACAAAAAAAAATCAAGTAGTCTGTGAAAATTGTCATTTTTGCATTAAAGAACGATCAGATATCCTAAACCACTCAGTCCATTATAAAAGCAGCAATTTCTCTAACTGTGTTACCAGATATCCTCAAGTTCTTATTCACATGAACCTGAGACAAACAGGTTCACACCCTCCAGGGCCTACTACATCGTATTAATCAGTTTCAAAGGTGTGACTGAGATACCAAACAAAGTTATTAAATGTGAAAAAGTTGGAGAATCTAAGTAAAAACATTAAGGCCACTAAGTAAGAAAAAAGAATTTAACTTGCACTCAAAGATAGAAACATTAACATTTTTATATTATTTTATTTTTAGGAAACATTAAAAAACATTTCTTTTTCCTCAGGTAAGCATAAAGAATAATATTGTGGAGAAGTCTTTTATATGCACATATAACTAAGGTAGAGATTTATATTTGAGTGCTCACATTAGAAATAATCCATTAGGTAGGATATTAAATAGTGTTAAACAACATCCTTTGCACCACTTTTTTTCTAAACTAACTTTTAGGTTTAGAAAACCAATAAATTTAAATTTTTTCTTACATGGGGCAAATGTAGGTTTAAATGCTTAGTTTAATGTTGAAACCTGTATTTTGAAAAATGCAAAAAAAAATCCATTTCCATAATACAGAAAAAAAAAATTTCTACATACCTGCCAAGCTAGTAATTGGTCTGGCTCTAATTCAGCAGCTTTTTTATAGGCACTCTGGGCCTGATCAGGTTGTTCTAGTTCAGCTGCAGCAACGCCAATAAAAACCCAGGCATTATAGTTATTTTTCTCTTGCTTTAACACTGTCTGATTTAAAAAAAATTAAAAGAGTAGGTTAGTAAATTTTCGAAGCAAATGAACTAACAATAACAGAAAGTCTAGCATGAGTCAGGAAATCTATATCTACCACTTAACAGGGCAAACTTCAGAATGCCATTTAACCTATCTGGTTTCAGTTTCCTCAGGGGAAGGAGTTGGACTGTAGGAGTGACCATAATGGCTTTGAAATAACAGGTGGTTTCTTTTAAAGCTGCCCGAGGGATACTGACACCTCCACCAAATGCCTCCCCATGCTCTTTGAGAATACTGGGTATAAAAAGAACAATAACTACTCAATCATCCTGCCTGTCTCCATACTGCTACTGGTCAAATTCACAAAGCTGTTCTCCATCTCATTTCACTTAATCCAACTCTCATATTTTCCTTCACCATGATAGTTTCCCCATATTAGACACATGGATTTTTCTCAAGATTAAGACTAGGAAAGTAGATTCACCCCAGTGCGATTATACCAAATATGTTCAAAATAAATAGTGGCAATGATGTTTAAACAACACCTGCCAACTGGAATAAAAATTATATGTAGAGATAATTGCTTTCAGAAATAACAGCTACTTGCTAAAGGTAAAATAAAACAGCTTGAAGCAGTTAGCAAGTATGTTCTAGGGAAAGAAAAACAAAACCAGTAGCCAAAATGAAATTAGCCTCTTAAGGTTTTACATTATTCCAGAGAAAATAAGAACATTTCCATGAGTTAAGCGAGTCATATTATTAGACTTGAGTGTTTCCACACAACACTCCTAATAATCTGTCCCTAATATGCAGTACAAGCTCCATTCTATCTGTGAACACACTGATTACACAAATTGGGTCATTCTTGTCACCTAAGTCAGAGTAAAGGGAGCACCAGGGGGAAAAGGCACTCAGGCCTCATAGCACCTGCTCCAAGATTTAAATTTTCCAAAAGCCCGGCTGCTGAGAGGGCCTGCTGTAACCCTAAGACCAGTTTTCCCCAGTAGCTGCCATGACTCTAAGTCTAGTTTTACCTACCATCGTCACTCACCAATCAGAGCCTGCCAGCTCCCAAAAGCTTCTCTAGTACCAGTGAGCTTTCTTTCAAAATAATACATAACATTTTTCTTTCCAATAAAATGGCCAATCTTCTCTTTGTTCTTCAGACATACAAAAGACCACTTAGCCTGTGTGTGTATGCCCCAAATTGCAATTCTTGTTTCCCAAAATAAAATTATTTATTTTGACTTCAACATAATAATGCTGCCTCCTAACAAACCACAACAATGATGTAACTACCAAAGTTAAGCTCTAAACACTGGGGCCTTATTAATGCTTATGTTCCCAACACCAGGTACAATGGCTGGCACTTAACAGCTGAACAAAATGCCATACTCAACCAGCAATTAGTTAAGTACTGACTATCTGCCTGATGACCAGGTTTTCAGAATCCAAAATGGATGTTTAAGAAAATGATTATCAACAATGTGGTGAAGGCAGGTATGAGATTCTGAAAGAACATAGAGAAAAAAGTACCGAACTCTGCATAAACTGGAGAAGGCTTCCCTGAAGGGATACTCATACCATGTGATAAAGCGCCACAGGCAGACAAGGTGATGATCAGACAAAACCACAGCAAATGCAACATTCCTTTACTCAAAAATTCATTTAGTCTCAACCAATATTCTGGGTTACTACACATTAGTAATCAGGCATTTATAACTGATTAGCTATCCATTTGCATTTTCTAATTGGGTCTCTCTAGTATAAATTATTAACTATTTGGTGGAATTAATATCTGAATTTTGCAGAAAGTCTACAGGAAGAAGACAGCTATGGTGGTGCTGTATATAACTGAAACGTGCATCAATTAGATAAACCTAGTGCTGAAGGAAACAGTCCTTCTTCCCTTCTTGTATTCCATCCACAACCTGTCCCCACTTGGAACACACTGCCCACCTTCTTCTATATCAAGATTAATACTATCACGTCCTTGCATCCCTGCTGGGCTCCATCAGTCACCACCAGAAACCTAAACCTCACAAGGGTATCCTTTACCTGTTTACTCCTTAGACTCATCCTCATATTGCCATGTATACTGCCCAGTCTTGCCCAATTCCCTCCCTACCACTCTCCTAAATTCTTCATTGTGCCCTCTGGAACTCCCAATCTGGGTCAGCCAAGTTCCTTCCATATTTTTAACCTTTCTTTTAACCACACCAAGTTCTGCCTCAATGAAAACATGGCTAATTCCCCTATACATCCTACAGATTGCAGATGACTTCTTTTACAGCTCACATGCCACAGGCCTAGAAGGTGAGAAACTGCTTCTTGCTCACACTGTCTGTCACCTACAGTCCTCTACTGCTCCTTCCTCCTTCAGCAACCCCACTACCTTTGAAGCTCAGGCCATCCAACTATACTACTAAAAATAGCCTTCTTGTTGCTACAGTCTACCACCTTCCTAATTCCCCTTTCCTTCAGTGAAAATTCTGTATCCTTCTTTTCCACCTCAGTGCCTGTATTCATGTTGATATCCCGTTGAACACTCTGGCCTCTCAGTTATGTGACCACCACACTACTCACCCATCCAAAATCTGAATTTCCAGCACAGTACTATTCTGCTCCTCTCTAACCGTCCCAGTTCAATTACTGTAGTGGTCCCATGGTAACAAATCTTTAACCTTTGGTTTCTCTAATTTTTTCTATCCTAAACGCTTTTTCCATTGCCTATCAGCCCACCTCTCATTTCTCATTCCTCTTTACCCAGCTTAGACTCCAGGGCTCACCACTGTCATCACTCCCTTGTCATGTCTTTCCTTTGCATGTCTTTCCTTTCTTCTTTCTCTCCATCCATACTTGAACCCCATCATGCCCATCTCCAAACCTGAGAAACTGAATACAAAGAGAAAAACTACAGCGGAGTTCACTAATTTCACTTTAATAGCTTGAAACTTCAAATGGGCAATCACTAGGGCCTGCTAATCTTTCCAATCCTTACTAGCAAGTTTCTTTTCCCACCATGAGAAAAAAAAAAAACAAAAAAAAAAACAAAGAAAGAAACTATTTCATACCTTCTGCTATCTCAAACCTCCTAACCAATAACCAAGTCTTCTCCCAGTCTCATCTTATACTTTGCCAAGAAAATAGAAGCCATTAGAGAAGAAAGCTTTTCCCAACACCAAATCTATAAGCCCAACACTGTATGGATGGGCACCTATCTTCTCTCCTGCTAAGATGGAAGAAGGATTAAAGGGCTCCCTCAAGCTCTGGATCCCAGTGTGTCTCTCACCTACTGATGACTTCACTCCTACCACTACCCTCTGTCTCTCCCCCGAGTCCAATTTCTCCCTCTGAATGGAATCATACCCATCAGCATAAAAATAAGCTTTATAATCTTGGTCCTCTCATCCACAAACCAAATAGAAATAGAACACTAACATGCCATTAAACAATGAAAACTTTAAGATACAGTAGCATTCCACGATACAACCATCAAAAGATATTTATGGGATATTCAGGTTTTAAGAACTTGGTTTTGTTAAGTTACCAATACAGAGAAAGTTAAGTTTGGCAGAGGTAGTTTATCCTGCTAACTAGAGGTTAAAAGTCCAACCATTCTAATGGTTCTACTAAATGGCCTTACCACTTTTGCTGTTTGGACAGGAAATAATTCACATATTACAAATCAACAATGTTTATAAATGGGTAACATACTTTCATTGTGGAAGAAAAAAATACTGGTTACCTTACAGTGTTTCAAAGCTTCTTTGTATTCTTTGTTTCTGATTGCATCTCTAGCACTTTTTAGAGCAGTCTTCACTTCCTTGCTGGACATTCTGTCAAGGCAGAAAGCCTGAGTAAATCTACAGTAATACCTACCCAATCGTAAATGTTCCAACAAACTTAGCCATCTGAAAAGGGACCCTGGAAAAGGAAAAGACTCCTTCTCTCTGGAACAGTCTTCCCTCTAGAATATACACAGTTTATTCCTTAACCTCTTCAGATCTGTACTCAAATGTCACTTCCTCAATGAAACCTTCCTTTGACATGCTATTTAACATTTTAATCTTGCCATCCCCCTACTCTCAACAACCCATTATTTCCGGAACCCCTTCCATTGCTTTATTTTTCTTGAAAGCATTTGTCACATTTAATATACTATATATTCTACTTATTTATCCTGTTTATTTTCTGGGTCCCAACCCCACAAGAAGCTAAGTTCCATGCAGGCAAGAATTTTTTTTTTCACTGCCGCATCCCCAGGACCTAGTATCTTAAATTATAGATGATCAATTAATAAGTGTTGAAATTGAGTTATATTTTATTTACATTCATTCTCTATATATTTTGGCTAAAATACAAATGATCTTGTTGATCAGGACTCAAAACACATACCAATCTCAATCCAACTCTCCCACTCTATACAAAGCTAGATCCAGTAGAATAAGCCCAAGTCACAGATAAAACACTAACACAAATAATTTCAGTGACTGTGATATGAAAGTTTAAGAAAGCATTGTTTTAATGCTAGTTTCTGTGAAACATAAATCAAGATATTAACTTTCTTCACAATAAGGATTACTGTAGGTTTATTACCTGTACTTTTTCTAAAGAAAAACAATGTTTAAACTTGAATGGAAGCAATGGATAATGCAAAAGGGTTGTATACTAATTTCAGCCATAAAAAGATATTTTAATTAGTAGAGAAAGTATTTCTTCATTTAGTCTTAAGATATATTAATTTTAAATAAATTAGCATATTTTAAGATTACACAACTTATTCTGGCTTACCTATAAACAAGTCTAATTCAATCATAATTCAATGTTGAAAAAAAGAAATATTTGTATTTTCTGTCAGCTCCTCTAATCTCATAGAAAGGTAAAACAAAGCTGGGGTAAATATTAAGTATTTATAGGCTTCAGATGCTCAAGGGAGTAAAATGTACCAAAAAGATGAATCACTGACATGGTACACTGACAGTCCTTTATATCCAAAGAAGAAGCTAACACAGAAGTATGAGACCAAAGAAGTTTGAGAAGTTAGATACATATTTTTTAATCTTTTTGACTTAAAAAATGTTAGGATTCAAAATAATAGAAAAATTAAGATACCATAAAATCAATTTATCTACAGCTAGAACCAGATTCCCTAAATAGGCAGATAAGTAACTTTTTTGCCTAGTTACAATAATTATATAATTTAAAGCACCATATTTCATATGTTCTTGCTTTAGAAACTACTACCTTATCTGAAATTATCTTGGTATATATTTATAGGTGAAAGCTTCAGAATGATTTTTTTGTAGTTTGCAAATCTTGATTGGAGTAGGTAACAAATTTCAATGCTGATTTCACAATTTTCTCAAACCAGTTTCCTTTGGTTAAAAAAAACCCTGCAGACTAAAAAGAAGAAAATAACATCAAGGATGATGACAACTGATCTAGATCAATAAAAAGAGACAAAAAGAGACACTCAAGTAAAAAAATCAAAAGATGTCCAAATTGAAAAGGAACAAAAACAGTCTCAAATTAAAAACAAACAAAAGACCACAACCATTACATAAGGAGGAAGTTCACCATCTCTTCTATCACCCAACATTCATGAGGGTATGTATACAAACAAGGCAGGACCAACCACTACTAAACTACATGCAGCCCCCAAGCTATTTGCTGTGCACGATATAAAAAATATATAAAGAATATAATCTAAATCAAGAGAAAGACTTAAGACATATAAGTCATTCAATAATCAAATGCTAAACTAAGGGTAATGAGTGGAAGTGCAATAGGAATTTAGAGAAGGAAAGGTGTGTGGTGTGATGTTATTAATGGCTTCTATTAATAGAAGATGACAAGACTTAAAAATGGAGTGAAGAAGGAAAATTGCTCTACTCAGAGGCAAATGCATTAGCAAAGTGACAGAAGTGGGAATGAGTTGTGGCAAGTATAGGAAACAGTGAGAAAGCCAGGCTGAATGGATCAGAAGGGACTTATTAAACAGAAGAAAATTAGGTTGGGTAGGTAAATAGAGCCTCAGATTACAGATCCTGAAAGTCAAACAGACAAGTGTGAAGTTAAATACAGCAGCAAATAGGAAGCCATTAGTAATTTTTAAGTAGGTTGTTTTTAAAGACCACTATATAGAAACAAACACCATTTTTCTCTTGGTAATCAATTCTAATATTAAATGTCCTTCAGTATCTGTATGTCTCCATATGTAATTACAATTCTTCATGCTACAATGGAACCCTCTATTCTCTTCCAATTCCTTCTTCATTTGATGCAACATTTAACACAATACGCTAGCACTGAGGTCCTCTCTCACTCATGCATACACACATATATGTACGTAAGTTTCAGAAGTTTAATTTGTAAAAAGACAAAATAATCTGCCCCTTTTCAACCCTAAAAACTACTACTTCCTTTTTTTTTAATTTTTATTTTTATTTTTGAGGGGAAAGGGAAACGTCCATTCACCAATTTTCTAAACAAACCCTTATTGAGATCCAACCATCTACTAGGTACCACTTAAACCCATTTTCCTTCCGAGGGTAAAAACCTACTACCCAAAATGATTCCACGTAACCCCATACTCCTCTATTTTGGATATTTCCCTTCATTGTAAGGATTTCTAACACGTCAAAGAAACATCTAGCTCTCTTGCAAGAGAGGGAGATGTCTTTAATATTCTTCCACAATATAACTCCCTATTAATTCTTTCCGCCTTATACCTCTCCTCCCACTATTCTCCTCAATCTCAACTGTCTTTTTTTAAATAAGAGTATTCATTTTGTACGTTTTCACTCAAGTTTTTCTACTACCAACCCAAAATATTTTTATCCAACATAAATCAAGAATAAAAAGTGGCAACAACTGCACTTAAAAAGAGTTAGAAAGTGACAGTCATGCCATAAAGGCAATGATATTCCTCAAGGACAACATATATAGGTATGATATATATGTCCCCAGTTGAGGCTATGAAACCTTAAATAATATTCCAATATGCTCATACAAAGATTCCACAAAGCTAAAACAACAATAATAATAAATAGTAATGATAATGACAACGGAAGCTAATTACAGAAAGGAAAAAAAACGATATCTTTAAATCTAATAACAAAAGGTATTTTGTAATGACCCATAGTCTGACATTAAAAAAAAAAAAAAAACTATGCCATTAAATCTTTCTTCTGAAAGGAATGAGTAAAAACAATCATTAAGTAAAAATAGATTCCAATTTATTATTTAGCATTGTAGACACTTACCTTTTACCAATTATTACCACCTCTATATTCTTCCCGAATTGAATTTGATTGTTCCTTACCCATTTTCCATCTAAATTAAACAAAAACAAGTATGAGACAATCATATAAAAAGGATGACACCCACAACCCAAAACCTTCTAAACTTTTTAACGCATCAATTTTCATAATTCATAATTTAAAACATGAGAAATAATTATGTATAATTTTTAGTATTTTTATTCTTTCCCAGAGAGACACTATTCTTAATCTCCAAACTTCTGAATTGGTCTAAACTATATTCCTGGGCCTCAGATGATAAAAGGAAACTTCTACAAGAGATCAGAAGGATTTTGAGAAACCATTTCAGAAACCCAAAATACACTGATGTCAATATAAAAAAATAGAGCCAAAGAAGAATATCTACTATTTCTGTGCCATTTTTGCTTTGAATCAAGGACATCTACAGACAACTAAGGGTACTTATTTACACCCAATTTGCAGCCTAATTATATTAGAATAGAACTTTTCTCTAAGGAACATAAGGAGTATAATATAATACAATTATATTAGTTTGTAATCTAATGAAAACAGAGAAATTTTTTTAATGTTAACAATGCATTTAAATAGTCATTAAAAATAGTAACACAACTACACATCTACAAATTCTAAGGATATTTTGATAGCATCCCTGAAGTGGCTTCTGTCAAACAAAAAACAATCTAGAATGGTCCCTGCAGAGAATGGAAGTGGTTTTGAAAAACTGAATAAAGTGAAAAAAAACATGCTACTTCAGAACTAGGAAGTAAACAATGTTTAGGTGAGGCAGGTAGGGATGAACAAGGAATGAAAAGTTTCCCTAACCAAAACACTCATTAGTGATCTACCGAAATAGAAGTGTCACTCCAACAGTAGAAAGTCTTACTGGTAAGAAAAGAAAGTATGGTAATCCAAACAATGTTTAGGAAAGTAAGATAATAGTTAAAAAAGAAAAAAAAGTACAAACTTGACTATTTCACTGGCTTCTTTAGCCCTGCTAACACTTGGCTGCCCTCCTCACCCAATCTAGTTTTATCACTCAGTCACTTCAACTCTGTTCTTACAAAGTACCCTAGATCCTGTCAGCCCCTTTACTCTGTCATATCCACCCACCAAGGCTTACCCTAGTTGAGAGTGAGCTTAGGAAATCAAATGGATCTAGGATCAAAGCCATTAGGCCTTGGGTACATGACTTCATTACTCAAAGCCCATTTCCTCACTGGTAAAGTAAGAATTACATCACTTACCTGATACACACATAGATGGAGTACTTGGACATAATCTATACTAATAATGTCCTATCTACTATTATTCTCTCAATCAACTTTGCTACTTGCCATTCCTAAAACAACTAGTGTGATAACTCAGTGTTAAAAATTTTCCCTACACATTCAAATCCCCAACCGTCCTGCAACCTCCTTCTTCCTTGCTCTCTCAAGAAGTAAACTTCTTACCTATACAAACGGCCCCTGACTTACAAATGGTTGAACTTACAATTTTTTGACTTTACGATGGGCTTATCAGCATATTAAATGCATTTTGACGTACAATATTTTCAAGTTAAAATGGGTTTATCATGGTGTAACCCACCATAAGAAGCATCTGTATTCCTCAAGACAGCTATCATCAAACATGAGTACCCTCTTCATATTAGTTACTACACTACATGAATACTAGAGTACAGCCTACAACAGGGATCACTCCCTCCTCCAAACCTCCAAACTGAGCTACTCAACTGCAACTTAACAAATATTATTTTTATTATCCTATATAGACATAATTCAATTATGTCTCCCAATTCAATAAATTCTTAGACGTAAGTCTTATATTTTCAGAGCTTCTTATATACCCAACACTTACTGGATAATACATATTCAATAAATAGCTAATGATCTTCCAGCTTCCAAGGCTTACCAGTGTTAACAAAAAAATGAGTGACTGAGGGAAGTGTCTCAATCAGTAGATGTTTATTGAGCCACACTTTGAGCACACGCCTGGGGAAAAACAAGCCACAGAAGCATCTGTGACCCACACTTTCCAAAGAGGGCTTTCGGAACTCAGTATTCTAGAGGAGAGCATGCAGGAGTGAAAAATGGCGGGAGGGAAGTAGGCAGTGAGGCAAATGGTTACATTCTCTTGAGTACCTTTTCTGATAGCATAGAATTACTGATTAGCAAAAATGTTGTACGTTCACAAAAGAGTAATCAAAACAATGAGGAAACCTGAAATTATGAGAACTAGCTGAAGAAACTGGGGACTAGGAAAAATAAATAAATGGTGGCGAGGGAGTTGGGGGAAGGACTGTTGAAAGGGAGAGATTATCCATGTAAAAGTGAAGAAAAATGCACTAATGAATGGTTAAAAATAGAGGAAGATTAACTTCAACTTAAAATAGGAACTTTTAATGAGACCTATATAAATGTGGAATGAGGTACTCAATGGAAGTGTTTCCCATCACTGGAGATGAAAAAGCACAGGCTGGACAATCCACTCAGCAGGAATGTTTTAGGATAAACTGAATGTCAGATGGGAAGTAGGACTAGAAGCCTCTTAGATTCTTCCAGCACAACGTCTCTAAGGCTCTAAAATATCTGTCTTGCTCCAAATCACTGCAGCACCTGCTCCTATTGACACTGCCAAGGGGAGAAAGAAGAAAAAGATGTATTCTTGTAAGCCTGTCATCAGAGTACATGTCCTGTGGAAACAAGGCTGTAGAGAGTAAGCACAGTTTATGGAATCAGACACAAAATTAAATATAACTTTTATGAATTTAAATGTCAGTCAATATTGTCACTATGGTAGAAAATACGTTCTACATTCCAAATTAACTCAAAACAAATTTGTTTTTATGAGAGAGCCCACTTGTATTACCTTCCGTGCTGTATTATTATTTCATGTATGCTTGGTTTTGCTTCCCTGAAATCTAAACTCATGTAAACTGAGACTATTGTTTAGGGGTTTTTTTGTTTTTGTTTTTTTTTTGAGATGGAGTTTTGCTCTTGTTGCCCAGGCGGAGTGCAAAGGTGCGATCTCAGCTCACTGCAACCTCCACCTCCTGGGTTCAAGTGATTCTCCTGCCTCAGCCTCCCTAGTAGCTGGGATTACAGGCGCCCGCCACCACGCCCAGTATTTTGCGTATTTTTCGTAGAGACGGGGTTTCACCATGCTGGCCAGGCTGGTCTCGAACCCCTAACCTTCGGTGATCCGCCCGTCTCGGCTTCCCAAAGTGCTGGGATTACAGGCGTGAGCCACCGCGCCCAACACTGTTTACGTTTTTGCATGCTCCCGCAGATCTTTATCATGCTGCTTGAGTAACAATTCTGCTACACTAACAGATAAACTAACTGCAGACAGAGCATTTAGTGAGTTACGGCACAGACTCTTCAATTTTCAGTCGTGCTCTGACTGGCTCCCTGTGTAAACTCAGGCCAGTCATTTAACCTCTCTAAGCCTGTTTTCCTATCTGCAATATGGTGAAAGTGAGGATTATAGAAAATATTCCATATAAAAGTACGTGGCACGCAGCAGATGCTCAGTAAATGCTTAGTATAACGCTCAGCACCTAAGTGCCATGTGAGTATTAAATAAACAAATCTGTTCCTTACTACAATTATCTTAGGCAAAAAAAAACCTGCCAGATATTAGTATTCAGTTGACTTAAGTAAGTAGTATAACTCCTCTTTTAACTGTCAGAATATTAAAACTACTAGTGTGATGTGCAAATTATATACCCGAAACTAGATACAGAAATTGGAATTTGGCTTTGGGACAGAAATCTGCTTCTTCCAGAACTCTCCAAAGGAATTCAACAGTCAAAAGAGACCGGTTTTTATTCTGCAGCAAAACAATGATATTCTGAACCTACGTCAACTAACTGAACATGTCACACAGCCCATTTCCCCCTCCAGTTTCGCTTATCTCCTTTGCTCTCTGAAGGCAAGGAACAGCTATGCTTTCCCCTGCCTACAGCCTGAAACTTCTTACTAGGCCCCGCTCCTCGCCCCATGGGAGCACAGTAAATCCTGACTGCACGGGGTAAGAGAAGCAATAAGATGAGACAGGCTAGAGATTTCCCTGGGAAGGTATTCGGGGGGGTCTAAGGCATTCACGGCGCACCTGAGGCGGTCCACCCAGAGGCCCCACAAGGCACCGCCCTATTCAACTTAAGTGACAGCCGCGCCGCCACCTCATCGCCGCCCAGTTCACGCTCTCGCCGAACACTCAGCCACGCTTGCGCGGCCCAAAATGAACAGCCCCGGCCCCGATCCTTTCTTTCTCTAAGTACCATTTCAATCGCCTTTAGGATCCCTTGTGCAAAACCGACAGAAATCCAAACCCACCTGGAGCAGATGCTCCTCTTCTACAAACGCCGAGGCTGCAATGAGAGCGCATGCGCCTTTCCCAGGACTCATTCACGTGACTGGAAGTGGCTGGGTTCTGATTTGCTCGGTATTTGATTAAAAGGTCTTAACGTGGGTAAAAGCGGGAATTTCTCTGTTGCGCATGTGCGCGCTCTCCGCCTGATAGGAGTTGTAGTTCTGCGGGTGAAGCTCGGCGTTACTATCAAGCAACCAAACTGCAAGCTTTGGGAGTTGTTCGCTGTCCCTGCCCTGCTCTGCTAGGGAGAGAACGCCAGAGGGAGGCGGCTGGCCCGGCGGCAGGCTCTCAGAACCGCTACCGGCGATGCTACTGCTGTGGGTGTCGGTGGTCGCAGCCTTGGCGCTGGCGGTACTGGCCCCCGGAGCAGGGGAGCAGAGGCGGAGAGCAGCCAAAGCGCCCAATGTGGTGCTGGTCGTGAGCGACTCCTTCGTAAGTACCGCGAGGCAGGGGAGGGGCGCCCCGCTGGGGATCGGCGACCTCACCGCCGCCGCCTGTGCTGCAGGCTTTGGGGAGCAGAACCTGAGACATTTTCAAACACCTTTTACCCCGATGCAAAGAAAGAAATACATTTTATGTGAGGCCCCGTGTACTCACACGTACACCACATACCTATGCAAACATGTAAAACAATAGTGAAACACTGAAAACATCTTTGCAGATCTTTTTTTTTTAATACTGACCTCGATTCGCTAAATTATTTTACCACGACTAATGAACTTTCAGTCCATACCCCCGTTTGGTTTAATTGTGTGGTAAAATAACATTCTGCATCTCCATAAAAGCGTGTTAGCTTTCCAAAAGTCATTTTCCAGTTCACCTCAAGTTTGCAGGAATTCATGTTTGGGTGAGAAGTGAAGAAAGTTTATTTTTATTACCCAGGTCTGTGATAATCCTGTTAGTGCTGATTCAAATGGAATCGTTGGTATAACTTGATTCACTCCCCCGTATTCCAGAGAAATTGTGTGTATGTGTGTGTGTTGGTAATGTGGCTGAATCCCAAACTTAAACAGTTTTTGAAACTTTCCCAAGCCAAAGGTGCTACTGTCAACCTTACGCGATGCTTTTAGGATGATCCATGTTTTAAAAAGTGCTGCTTAGACAATTGTTTGGTTATTAATTGTAATATTAGTTTATTATCACTCGGTGTTACTGTGGTCACACAGATGTTGGTGTTAAGCATATCTGGCACTAAAGAGTGTTTGTAATCATATGTTGTATTTCCTTTCTCGTAGATTCCTGATGATTAAAATTACATAGTCTGGATGTGCCCATGGGATTTTTTGAAAATATTACTTAAAGTTATCTTTGTGATTTAAACTTAGAGAATGGGCAGTACTGGAAATTGACTAGATGGCATTTTATTACAGAGTGCTCTTGTAATCAAAGGCAAATGAAGGAAGCAGGATTGTGCAGAGGAGAAGCTGAATTTTGTTGCCATCTTATGAATGACAGTTCTCAAACTAGTATGGTGCTTCAGAGCTGCTTTCCAATAGGAGTGAGGAGAACAGACCTTTCCACCTGCATGTTGGATGGCCACTGGTTGTGGGCTGCTCCTAGAATGGGGCATGGTGTTGGGCAAAGCAGCTGTCTTCAGCAGAGGCAATTGTTCATTCCTAAAAGGGAATCCGAATGTGGATCACAACATCCCAGAAACTTCCAAAGATGACTGAGATATATAGGTTTGTTATTTTTTTTAGTGTAGTATGAATGCATAGATTTTTCTATATTTGTGCTTAAATTTTTTGCATTCACGGCCGGGCGCGGTGGCTCACGCCTGTAATCCCAGCACTTTGGGAGGCCGAGGTGGGCGGATCACGAGGTCAAGAGATCAAGACCATCCTGGCTAACACAGTGAAACCCCGTCTCTACTAAAAATACAAAAAAATTAGCCGGGCGTGGTTTCGGGCGCCTGTAGTCCCAGCTACTCGGGAGGCTGAAGCAGGAGAATGGCGTGAACCTGGGAGGCGGAGCTTGCAGTGACCTGATATCGCACCACTGCACTCCAGCCTGGGCGACGGAGCGAGAGTCCGTCTCGAAAAAAAAATAAAAATAAAAATAAAAAAATTTTTAAAAAATAAAAAATAAAAAAAATTTTTGCATTCACATACTTGTTAATATTCAAACTGTCCTATCTTTGGCCAGTGGAAGCCCCTTCAGGTGGTTCTGAGTCCTTTTGACCCATCCCCATTAGTATTTGACAGCTTGCTTTAACAGAGTTCCATGTCCACAATACATATTTCCTGTCCCATCTTGTATTTAGAGACCACAGTCTGAGTGTTAGGGTGTTCATTGCATCTAGACCTTTCCAGTGGACAAATCTAGAAAGTATATAATATTTTAGAATGAGAAAAATAAATTGTGAGATCATACTGATACTTTCCATTCAAATTTAAGATTACAAGTTTATTCTTTGATTTTTATACTTATATCTTTTTTGTTTTATGCCAAATATTTTGGTCTAAATGCATTAATGCAATTACTTATTTGCTTTATCCAAACATATAATATGTATATATCAATGTGTTTGAAAATAAGACTGTAATATTACTAGAAATAATGCTAGTCCTGAGTGCAGCTTACAGTTTCTTTGAAGTTTTTGTTTTAGGTATATTCAACTATATAGTAAAAATGTTGGTCTTTAAACTTAAAATAATTCCTCTCTCTATGATTATACCAGTTTGGTATGCTGTTAGATTCTTGACACTGTGATTTATCATTTCTAAAACTCTGCAGGCTAAGATAGAGCAGTTAAGCTGGATAATAATTGTAGGAAGAAAATAGCAAATTGGTTTTACTTTCAGGATAACAACGCAAGAGCTTTGTAGATCAACTCCCAAGAAAACAAGCAAACCAAATGAAAACTCTTTTTTAAACTATACATAAAAACTATTAAATATTTGAAACACTTAAAGTGTCTGGAAACTGTCCTAAGGTCATACACCAAATGAAGAAACATTTATTCAAGAAAATCTATGAAAACTTGGTAAGAATAGCAAGAAGGGTCTGTGGCAGTGAACTATAGTTTTGACAGAGGTTTCACTCAGGTGGGTGTGGCCAAGAAGATAGGACTACTCCCCCTCGGCTCCCAATCACCAGTTATGGTATCTCACCAAAAGGGACAGGCTGTGAGATTTCTCATCTTCTCCTAATCCAAGTTGGAGAGGTTAAATTCCTAATGAATGCAGCTGAGAAGTTGAGGGCTCCCTTACTTCAGTCAGCCCCCACTTACAGGACAGAGGCTTTATGCCAAGTGCGGAAAGTTGAGAATCCTAGGGCCCTAATTGCCCTGGCCCTAGCTCTCTAGTAGGACAGAGGTTCCATACCAGGAGAGACAAGCTGAGAAGACCAAACAAGCTTCTGCAAAGCAAGCAGAATGGAGGAAATAATAAGGATTAGGGCAGAAATTAAAGAAACAGAGGATGGAAAAATAGTAGAGAAAATCAATGAGACCAAAAATTGGTTCTTAGACAAAATCAGCAAAATTGACAAACCTTAGCTATACTGAACAAGAAAAAAGACAAAAGAGCTAGATGACTAAAATCATGAAAGAGAATGGTTACATTATCTTAAGAAATAAAAGAATTACAAGGGAATACTTACATACAACAACTGTATGTCATCAAATTAGATAAATGAAATGGACAAATTGCTAGGAAGGCAGAAACTACTGAAACTGACTCAAGAAGAAATAGGCAATCTGAATAGACCTATAAGAAGTAAAGAGGGTAAACTGGTAATTTTAAAACTACCAACAAAGAGAAGCACAGACCCAAACGGTTTCACTGATAAATTCTACCAAATACTTAAAGAATAATTAATACTAATTCTTCATCTACTCTTCCAAAAATTAGGAGAGAACACTTCCAAACTATAAGACCAGTTTGGCCGGGCGCGGTGGCTCACACCTGTAATCCCAGCACTTTGGGAGACCGAGGTGGGTGGATCACCTGAGATCAGGAGTTCGAGACCAGCCTGGCCAACATGGCGAAACCCTGTCTCTACTAAAAATACAAAAATTAGCCAGGCGTGGTGGCAGGCACCTGTAATCCCAGCTACTCGGGAGGCTGAGGCAGGGAGAATTGCTTGAACCCAGGAGGCAGAGGTTGCAGTGAGCCGAGACGTGCCATTGCACTCCAGCATGGACAAAAGAGCAAGACTCCATCTCAAAAAACAAAAACAAAAAAACAGTTCATGCCTGATTCCAAAGCCACGAATACATCACAAGGAAAGAAACCCACAGACCAGTATCCCTTAGGAATATAAGAGCAAAGATCCTCAACAAAATGGATTTGGCCCTCCATATTCACAGGTTCTGAATCCGCAGATTCCACCAATCTCAGATAAAAATATATGGTATTTATGGGATGTGGAACTCACAGAACTTGACTTTTCCTATCCATGGGTTCCACAGGGCTGACTGTGGGACTTGAGCCCGCAAAGATTTGGTATCCTTGGGAGGTCCTGGAAACAATCCCCTGCAGATACCAAGGGACAAATGTACTAGGAAACCAAATTCATTAGTATGTAAGAAGGATTATTCACCATTACCAAGTGGAATTTGTCCCCAAAATGTACAGTGAGTTTAATATCTGAAAATCAATTAATGTAATACATCATGTTGACTGAATAAAGGACAAAACCCATGTGATCATCTCAATAGATGCAGAAAAAGCATTTGAGAAGATTTGACAATCCTTATGCATTCAACTGGCTAGAAATAGAAGGGAACTAAAAGGCATCTACAAAAAAAGCCAGAACTTTACACTGAATGGTTAAAAGAAAAAAAAAATCAGTTTTCTGACTAAGATCAGGAAGAAGACAAGGATGTGTGTTCTCACCACTGCTATACAGCATTGTACTGGGGGTTCTAGCCACAGAATTAGAAAAAAGATTAAATAAAAGGCATTCACATTGGAAAGGAAGAAGTAAAAGTATCTATACTTGCAGTAATCTTGTATGTAGGATTCTACGGCTCCACTACAAAACTATTGAACTAATAAATTAGTAAGGCTGTATACCAGATCAGTGTACAAAAATAAATTGTATTTTATATACTTAATTGATTAACACACTTATAGTCAAATTAAGAAAACAGTTCCATTTAAAGTAACATCAGAATGGATGAAATACTTAAAATAAATCTAATCAAGGAAATATAGTTCTTATACTCCGAAAACTACAAAACATTGTTGAAAGAAATAAAAGAACATTTAAATAAATGAACAGACATCCCCTTTTCATGGATCAGAAGATTTAATATTGTTAATATAGCAGTACTCACCAAAATGATCTACAGATTCAATTCAATGCCTGTCAAAATCCCTAGAACCTTTTTTTTTTTCTGCAGAGATGGAAAAACCCATCCTAAAATTCATATGGTAATTCAAGGGACCCAGAATAGCCAAAAATAAATCTTGAAATAAAAAGAACAAAGTTGAAAGACATACACCTCCCAATTTTAAAGCTTATATCTTAACTACACCAATCAATGTAGTATGTTATTGGCTTAAGGATAGGTGACATACAGATCAATGGAATAGGATCTAAAGTCCAGAAATAAACTCTCATATTTATAGTAAATTGATTTTTTAACAAGGGTGCCAAGACCATTTAATAGGGAAAGAATGATCTTTTAAACAAATGGTGCTGGAAAAAAAAAATATGAATGAAGTTGGACCCTGCCTTGCACCATACACAAACACACAAAAAAAAACTTTAAGTAAATTGATTGATTAATCAAATGTAAAACTAAAAAACTCTTACAAGAAAACATAGGTGTAAGTCTTTGTGATTGTGGATTAGGCAATTAAAAGATGGGCAAAAGATCTTTTTTTTTTTTTTTTTTTTGAAATGGAGTCTCGCTCTGTCACCCAGGCCGGAGTGCAGTGGCGCAATCTCGGCTTACTGCAACTTCTGCCTCCCAGGTTCAAGCCATTCTCCTGCCTCAGTCTCCTGAGTAGCTGGGACTACAGGTGCCCGCCACCACACCCAGATAATTTTTTAATTTTTATTTTTAGTAGAGATGGGGTTTCACCGTATTAGCCAGGATGGTCTCGATCTCCTGACCTTGGGATATACCCGCCTAGGCCTCCCAAAGTGCTGGGATTACCGGCATGAACCACCATGCCCGGCCAAAAGATCTTAATAGACATTTCTTCATAGAAGATACGCAGATGACAAATAAATACATGAAAAGATGCTCAACATCATTAATCATTCGGGAAATGTAAATCAAAACCACAGTGAGACACCAGTTATACCCACTGGGATGGTTATAATGAAAAAGACAATAACTAGAGATGGCAACAATGTGGAGGAATTGCAACCCATACCCTGCTGGTAGGATCACGCAGCCATTGGAAATCAGTTTGGCAGTTTCTCGAATGGTTAACCATAGAGTTGCTGTATAATCCAGCAGTTTTACTCCTAGGTGTATATTCAAGGGAAATGAAAATATAAGTCTACACAAAAACTTCTACATGAATGTTCATAGCATTATAATGTTCATTATACATAATGGCCAAACAGTATAAACAACCCAAATGCCCATCAATTGATAAATGGATAAATAAAATTTGGTAATATTATTCAACAATAAAAAATATGGTATATGCTACAATATAGATGAAACTTAAAAAGATTATGCTAAATGAAAGAAGCTAGTCAAAAAGGACCACATATTGTATGATTCCATTCATATGAAATGTCCAGAAAAAGCAAACATAGAGCCGGAAAGTAGGTTAGTGGTTGCCTAGGCTTCAGGAAAATAGAGAGTAATGGCTAAAGAGTGCAGAATGTCTTTTGGGGATGATGAGAACATTCTAAAATCGACTATGGTAATGGTTGCACAGCTTTCTGAATACACTAAAAACCATTGAATTGTACACTTTAAATGGATGAGTTGTTTAGTGTGTTAATTATATCTTAATAAACCCATTTTTAAAAGAACAGAAAACAGGCTAGGCACGGTGGTTCACACCTGTAATACCAGCACTTTGGGAAGCCACGGCGAGCAGATCACCTGAGGTCAGAAGTTCGAGACCAGCCTGGCCAACATGGTGAAACCCCATCTCTACTAAGAATACAAAAATTAGCCAGGCATGGTGGTGGGCACCTGCCCAGCTACTCGGGAGGCTGAGTCAGGAGAATCGCTTAAACCTAGAATACAGAGGTTGCAGTGAACCGAGATTGTGCCACTGGACTCCAGCCTTGGTGACAGGGTGAGTCTCTGTCTCAAAAAAAATAAATAAAAATTTAAAATTAAATAAATAATAGAAAAGAAGCATCTCTGCCTGGGTCTTAAAGGACAGAGGCATCTTCTGCATCCCCACTCCTACTCCTACCTCTACTCCCTGCCACTGCACCTGTATCAGTTTTAGTTTTGCTGAGGTTTCAGGAGTGGCAGGGGAGAGTAGGTACAGGAGTGTTTACTAGAGAGTCTAGTGAGAATCTCATTCAGTCTGATGGACAGATCTGGGAAGAACACTATAAGCAGTCTTGCCATGCTGACATGGCAAATTAAAGTTGCTGTTACATTCTTTTATTAGGATGATTAATTCAAACCTAAACTTCTCTGATTCTGCATGGCCCATAATGATAAGGAACCGAGTACAAGCCATGGTTCAGAAGGAGCAATCAAAATCACAAAATTGTATCTACAAAAAGACTTACCCACCCCAAGGGGGAAAAATGTGTGGACCCATGAGAATTAATTAACAAGAGCAGAATGCAGCAACTAAAGGCAGTTGGTACCATTTCTGTAACTTTTGCAGAAAGCCAATTAATGGGTCATTTTTATTTCTTAAATGCCCAATTTTAGAGTGCTTAATTTGTTTGAACCATAGGAATGGCCTTGAGAAAATTGAAATGGGCTATTAGTAAGTTATAGAAGTTATAACAAAAGCCATTTTTCAAGATTTTCTCTGCCAACTAAATTTGACAGAACTGTGTTTTCACTTATAACTGGCTATCCATTGTAAACCACATTAACATACTATGGAAAACTTACTTTCTCTCTTTTTCATCAGCCAGCTGTGTTAAGATGCCTTTCAGTTCAGAATGAAATATTCTACTGACCGTCTCCCATTGATACCATTATCAGCAGTACTAGTAGTAGCCTAGTTTTTAAATGATTTGTTAGTGTGTAAAAACTACATGAAGTCAAAAACCAAAACTTCTAGAAAATTTTTAAATATTTTCTCTAATAACATTTTGGTCTTCGTTTAGAGTATTATTGATATTTCTGATATTGAGAATATGTATATCATAATTTAAATATTTCCTAGGAACCAAATTTTGCAATTGATATGCTTAATCCAGTTTATTAAGCTTTGCAAAAATACACTGTTGAATTTTGAGCATAAATTTGTCTTCTTTTTTAAATTGAACAAATCTCTGGATTAGAGATTCATTTCATTTCATTCACTGAATATTTGCATACCGCTCACTGCCTTATATATATCTCAGACAGCAATCTTAACATAGATCACCTTTCACTGATGGAATCGTTGGGAACTTTCCCACATGACGGCAGTCGCCCCCTCCCTTTCTGGTTATCTCTGCCACTATATTTCAAAGAGTCCTGCTTTCCAGCCTGCTTTTGATACAGATAATGTCCCTGTACTAGTCATAGAGATGAGTCAAGAAATCACTAACATCGATTTTAATCTGACACATTAGTTATTGATATGCTGCAGTAGTCATTTGCAGTGGTAGTTACACCAATTTGAACCTAGCCTGCAGGACTTGGAGTCCAAATCCCAATATGTGAATTATATAGCACCTTTAAGACAGTTCTACCTTGTGACCTTCTGCTCCATCCCCCAACCAGATAAGCCTGGGTTGTCTAGATTCTAGGCAGTGGCCACAAATTGTTATCTCCCCATGTTCAAAAGATTGTAACCATAAGACATATATACATTTGGAATTTGTGAGGATAAATTTCTGAGAATTTGAATTTAAGGGCTTAAAGAAATTCTCATGAGGGAGGGCTATGCACTTTTTTTTTTTTTTTTTTTTTTGAGATGGAGTCTTGCTCTGTCACTCATGCTGGAGTGCAGTGGCGCCATCTCAGCTCACTGCAACCTCTGCTTCCCGGATTCAAGTGATTCTCTTGCCTCAGCCTCCCGAGTAGCTGGGATCACAGGCACCTGCCACCACGCCTAGCTAATTTTTGTATTTTTAGTAGAGACAAGGTTTCACCATGTTGGCCTGACTGGCTTTGAACTCCTGACCTCAGGTGATCTGCCTGCCTCAGCCTCCCAAAGAGCTGGGATTACAGGCATGAGCCACTGTGCCTGGCCACTATGCACTTTTGTCTTCGCCTTTCTAGCTCATCATTGAGGAAATCAGTAGTTATTTGCTTAGCATTCAATGAT